>NC_000013.11:92919645-93222675 GCF_000001405.40 Homo sapiens
GTTAAGATGTTGGACTCTAAAAGTCAACTGCTTGGGTTCAAATCTCAACTCTACCACTGACTATCTTCTGTGATCTTAGACAAGTTACTTAACTTCTGTCTGTGCTCCTATTTCCAAATCTTTAAATTGGAATTAATAATGCTCCCCCATAAAATTGCAGTGAGCATGAAATGATTTGATGTATTTAAATTCTTAGAGCAGTGTCTGGAGCACAGCTGAGATACTCTAATGTTAGCTTTATTATTATTGACATCAGTGAATAAGCATTTGGTCACGATATCCCTGAGAATAAAGGAAAAGAGTGGGTTTTATGAGAAAGTTAAAACTCCATTCATACATTAAAATAGCATCTTCTTTACTAATGAAGCTTTTTGTTATGGAAGAGGTGTATTGCTGGTGCAGGAAAGCATAGGTTTTGTTATTCTTATGGTATTAGGGTCCTGGTTTATTATTGCAGACACTTGGCCTTTGGTTGATTTTTGCTCTAAAGTCACAAGAGTTCATACACTTCCATTGGATGCTTAGTAAACGTGAGTTTAAATGATAATATGATCTGTTAGACCCTAACTTTAGAATATTTAAAGTTATTTTTTTCTTTTGACTACTTTTTAGTTTTCGGGATTTAATTATACAGCTTAAAAGTAATATAAATCTTGAAAAGAAAATATCTACAAAGGGCAGATAGGAGAATGCACAGAAGAATTGATCATGTATAAAATCAGCATGCCAGAGGGCATAAATGGACATGTCGAGTATACTTATGGTGTTACTTATAAATTCCTCTTTGAAAATAGTAATAGCTTCCTAAAGGTCTATTTATTTCTAATCTCTGTTACATACAACTGCCAACAACTGCCCACAGAATCCTTTTAGGTACAACTGTAATCATAGCAGTACCCTGTTCAAACATCTTTAATGTGTCCCCACTGGCTACAGGAAATACATTTCACCTGCCTAGCATGGTATCCAAGGCACAGCACCATCTGACTCACTCTCCTTTGAGCATAGAACATGGCTTTGCTTGGCTTTGCAAAATACAGTCAAAATAGAATATTTGACTCCTCTTAAATATGCCCTGAACTAGTTACTTCAATGTGTGTATTTATGCTTTATACCACAATTTCACTACAGAACTTTACACAGGAATCCACCTTTGTTTTTCCAAATTATAGCAATTATTCCTTTACTAAGTCAAAGAACACTTCTTTATGAAGCCTTTCTTGTTTCCCTCAAGCACATAACATTTTTCTTTTTAGTGCTTTCACAATATTTTGTAACTATATTTTAATGTTCCTTAACACTAAAATACTGTCATACATTATCTATATTTACCTACTTCTATGTGGTAGGTTCATGAAGGACAATATTATCTTGTGATTGTCCTTTAGAAAATCATCCATAGAATTTACTAAGCTGCTTCAAACATCAACAATGTTTAATATGTATTAAATTAAATTGAGTTGTATTGACCAGTGATACACTTCTTCAAGTTTTCTTTTACCATTAATCATTGAGATTAATTTTCAAAGTTGTAATCTGTCTCCCATTTTATAACATAAGCATAAATGATTTTCTGAAAGGAAAATTCTGAGATGTATTCTCTCAGCAAATTTCAAGCATACAGTACAGTATTAATAACTATAGTCAACACAATCTACATTGGGTCTACAGTATTTTACAACTGAAAGTTTGTACTCTTTGACCAGTATCTTTCCTTTTTCCCCAAGCCCTAGCCTCTTGTAACTACCATTGTACTCCCTGTTACTATAAGTTTGTTTTCTTTTGTTTCTTTGTTTTTTTAAGACTGAGTCTCACTCTGTCACCCAGGCTGGAGTGCGGTGGCGTGATCTCGGCTCACTGCAAGCTCTGCCTCCCTGGTTGACGCCATTCTCCTGCCTCAGCCTCCTGAGTATCTGGGACTACAGGCACCCACCACCACACCTGGCTAATTTTTTGTATTTTTAGTAGAGATGAGGTTTCACCATGTTAGCCAGGATGGTCTCGATCTCCTGACCTTGTGATCCACCCGCCTAGGCCTCCCAAAGTGCTGAGATTACAGGCGTGAGCCACCACGCCCGGCCCTAAGTTTGATTTTTTAATTAGATTTCACATACAAGTGAGATCATGAGGTATTTTTTCTCTGTGTCTACTTTTTCTCATTTAACATAACGTCCTCTAACTTGATCCATGATGTTGAAAAGGGCAAGATTTTCTTCTTTCTAAGGTTGAATACATCCTTTAAGTTTGAGATACCCATCTGTTCACTCACCAATGGACACTTAGGTTGTTTCCATTTCTTGGCTAATGTGAATGATGCTATAATGAACAATGGGAATGCAGCTATCTCTTCAAGATATTGATTTTATTTCCTTTGGATATATATCAAGGAGTTAACTTCCTGAATCATAGGTTAGTTCTATTTTTATCTTTAAAGAACAGCATAGACAGCACACAAATAAATAAATGCAAAGCCAACAAAGTTGGGCTGCATTCTTCTCATGTTGCCATTTCTATGGTTCTCATTCTTCTGCCTTTCTCTTCCACTTATAAAGGCCCTTATGATTACATTGGATCCAGCCAGATATTCCAGGATAATCTCCCCATCTCAAGGTCACCAGATGAGCAATCCTAATTTCAGCTGCAGCTTTAGTTCCTCTTTGTCATGTAACCTAATATAAGCCCATATTCTGGAGTTTAGTACCTGGACATCTTTGATGGGACATTATTCTGCCTACCACAGCTAGTATCAAGCTTTACTAATAATTTAAAGGACACAATTAAGAGTCACATGTGAAATAGAGATCTGGGCCATCCATGTGGTTCCCCACATCTTTTCCATTTTAAACATGGACTCTGGCCCATCCAAAGTAACACAGGTGGTCTCTAAGTAAGGTACATAAGCTATTTTCTCAGCAAGCAAGGAACAGTTAGGTTATTAATTATCTCCATTTTATGATAATTAAGTTAAATCATTACATGGCTTACATGATATTCTGCAGGGAAATTTGCTTCATAAATCTATTCATATTTATTATATGTAATCCTAAAACAGAGACACCTTGATAAGAGCATTCTACTGATAAGGAATCTCTTCCAAGCCATTATCATTAGTTATCATTATCAGCATGTTTAAAAGTAAAGTAGACTAGATTACCTGCATTCTTTCTTTGGGAACATCACTTGGTAATGAGAGGAAAATGAATCACAAGCCAGATGCTTTAACTACTGTTTCTACAGTCACTATGCCAGGTGCCAATGCCGGAAAAGATATAATCAAAGATAAAACTTCTGTACTTGAGGAGCTCACAGTACTAGTGAAAGTAGGTAAGGGAATTAATTATCAAAGTGTGCTACGCTATGGTAAAGAAACTGGACTCAGACATGAAGTAATGGAAAGCCATTGAAACATCATTTAGTCAAATAGGTTAGGAAGTGGGCATATATGAGGTGGGAAAAATACACTAATAAATTCATTACCATAATACAGAAGAGAGCTGATGAGTATCCAGAAGAAAGTGGAGAGCATGAAAATGAAGAAGAAGAAACAAACATTTTTACAAATATATAATCTGCCATACTTGGTGAGGGTTGAATATTCCAGCAATTCTGCACTGAGAAAAAAAAGAAAAAAAAACATATGAAATGGAAGGAGCAGAAAAGAACACAGGCATGTTGTCAGGAGTGGTATGTGCCACAGGGTAGTATGTACAGAGAGCTTTGAAAGCACATAAGGAGGACACAGAACACAGTTGCGGAGAGGTAGAAAGGAGCTTGATCAGGTGAAGACATAATCTGAGTTGAGTCTAGAAGCATATGTAAGAGTTTACCAGGACAAAAGGAAGGGAGGACACATATGCAAATTCTTAGGGAGTCTAATTGTTTAAAATAATCACCTCTTTCTTCCAAAAACTTAATAGTTGTATTGACCATATGTTTTATTAACTTCTCAAATATAAGTAGCTTAATCAAAACCTTCAGGACTGAATTTTTATCATAGAAGATATTCTGAAATGATAAATCAACTTTTGAAGAAGATTCTTCTAGTTTTAGAACTTGTTTATAAAATGCCTGTAATTTTTGTTGTGCAGTTGTGAGCAGTGGATCAATGTTAGCTATTTTTATTTGTTTAATTCTGAAATATTAACAGTGTTGGAACACTATTATTACTTTGAAAGAGCATTATTTAGATTGTAAAAATTCATGTTTACAAATAAGTTACAGGGTTTATGCCTCACTAAGAATTAACTGCTACAGCAATTGCCTTCCCACCATTAAAAACTAGAAAATGAAACAAAATATATGAAAATGATGGCCCCAGTTTACTGCATAGAGGCAGTTTGAGACTGTAGTGAATAGAGAGGCAATTCATTTTTTTTGTTTGTTTTAGTTTCTGTATATGTTATTTTTGGATTTTTTTCTTTAACCTTTAAGTTCTGAGGTACATGTATAGGATATGCAGATTTCTTACACAGATAAACGTGTGCCATGGTGTTTTGCTGCACAAATCAACCCATCACCTAGGTATTAAGCCCAGGATCCATTCGCTATTCCTCCTGATGCTCCTCCTCCCCATTGCCCCCACCGACAGGCCCCAGTGTATGTTGTTCCCCCCACCCATCCCCCCATCATATGTCCATGTGTTCTTATTGTTCAGCTGCCACTTATAAGTGAGAACATGTGGTGTTTGGTTTTCTGTTCTGGAGTTAGTTTACTGAGGATAACAGCTTCCAGATTTATCCATGTTCCTGCAAAGGACATGATCTCATTCCTTTTTAAGGCTGCATAGTATTACATGGTGTATATGTACCACGTTTTATTTATCCAATCTATCATTGATGGGCATTTGGGTTGATTCCATTGTCTTTACTATAGTGAGTAATGCTGCAGTGAACATATGCATGCATGTGTCTTTATAATAGAATAATTTATATTCCTTTTGGTATATCCCCACTAATGAGATTGCTTGGTCAAATGGTATTTCTGCTTCTAGATCTTTGAGGAATCACCACACTGTCTTCTACGATGGCTGAACTAATTTACATTTCCACCAACAGTGTAAAACCATTCCTTTTTCTCTGCATCCTCACCAGCGTCTCGTTTCTTGAATTTTTAATAGTAGTCATTCTGACTGGTATAAAATGGTATCTCATTGTGGTTTTGATCTGGATTTCTCTAATGATCAGTGATGTTGAGCTTTTTTTTTCGTATGTTTGTTAAGCTGCATGAGTGCCTTCTTTTGAGAAGTATCTTTTTATGTCTTTGCCCACTTTTTAATGGTTTTTTTTTTTCCTTGCAAATTTGTTTAACTTCCTTGTAGACTCTGGAAAGTAGACCTTTGTTAGATGGACAGATAGCAAAAATTTTCTCCCATTCTATAGGTTGTCTGTTCACATAGAGAGGCAATTCAAGCAGAACTTAGCAGATGTAAATTGAATTAAACAGAACAAGATTGGATGTGGACAGGCTGACATGTCTAGAATTTTTGTGGCAGAATACAGAAGAAAAGGAGTGGAGGGACAGGTTTTCAGAGATCCACATAGAACCCTCTGAGTTTCTGGCTAAATCTTTGTCAATACGTGAATGAGAGGAAATCACTTAAGGCCAGAAAAAAATGACTGGAAAGAGGCATTGTAAACAATCCTCACAGCTTTTACTGTTATGTTCTTACCAGTGAAAGTGGAGATCTTTTGTAACATATGGGCCACTGAGTAGAGTCCTCAGAAGAGTCGTCTCAGAAGTAAGGCTAAGTTATTCTCAGACTAAATGCCTCTCGGAATGCCATAAGAAGCTATGAAAAGGTCCAACTAATTAACATGTTTCTTAATCACATGCCAGAACGAAGTTCAACACTCTTAAAAGAAACATAACAAAATCCATCATCTATCCATGTAAAATGCACAATTTTCAGCATCAGTCCAAAATTATCACATATGCAACGAAGATTACTCATAACTAGGAGAAAAAAATTAACAAAAATGGATGCATAAAGATAATAGGATAAAAATAAACACACATTAAAACAGTTAGCATATGTCTTATGAACATGCTCAAGGATATAAAGGAACCAGGAACATAACTAGGAGGGAAATGGGACATGTAAAAACAACTAAAATGGAATATCTAAAGATGAATAATTCAACATATAAATGAAAAATGCACTAGACTTAACAGGAGATAAATAGTGAATTGAGCAGGAATTAGAAATTATTCCAAATGGTGTAAAGAGACAAGACATATTAAAAATATGATCAGAACGTCAATGACCTGTGGGAATATATCAAATGACAAAAAAGTTTGCATAACTGGAATTCCAGAAGGAGAAGAAAAAAGAGGAGAAGGTACTTGAATAAATAACAGCCAAAATTTTATAAAACTGTTAAAAACTATATTTTCAATCATCTAACAGTGCCAGTGAACCCCAAACAGAAGCATAAATGACATTAAAGCACATCATAATCAAATTGTGCAAATGAGAGATAAAGGGAATCCTTAAGGCAGCCAAAAGAAATGGTGCATTATATAAATATGACAAGAAAAGAATTATGGCAATCTTCTAGTCACAAACCATGGAAGCCTGACGAAAACGGAAAGACTTCCTCAAAATCCTGAGGGGGAAAAAATAAAAACAGAATTCTATGTCCAGCATATATACATATATGTCATTCAACAATGGAGGTGAAATTAAGACATTTTTAGATTCAACAAAAGATAAGAATATGTACCTCCAGAATTCTTCCAGCTCTTCTGCACTGCAAGATAAAGTAATACTTCATGAAGACAGAAAAAAGATACCAGATCAAAGTGTGGATTCACAAAAAATAACGAGCGATGCTAGAAATGGTATATGTGTGAGAAAACATAGAAAAACATCTTTTATTAATCTACCATTTAATTTTATCAGCAGTGTGAAAACGAACTAATACAATACATCATGTTTGAAAGCAGGGCAAACTCATAGGCTCCTGGTACAATGAAAGCAATCTCCAAACCGCATAGATGCAACAATAAAAGCTGAAAACTTTGGTCCCAGAAGACACAACCTCTGATGGTGCTAACAGAACAACTCTAGAAGGCCAGACTGAAAACAAAAATGAGGGGGGAAAATGAGCAGAGGCATCACATATTCATGTAACAATAGACCCCCAGAATTGAGGAAGCCAACACTCACAGTGTTGAAGGGAGAAATAGACAAAAAAGAGAAGAAAAATTAAAAATAAAACTACAATTAGAAATCAGTAAGAAAGTCATTTGGAAAATTCTCAAATATGTAGAAATGAAACAACATATCCCTAAAATGACAAATGAATCAAAGAAGAAATCACAAAGAAGATTAGAAAAATGCTTTTAGATGAATAGAAATTTAAAAACAGCATACCAAAATTTATGGGGTTAAGATAAAGCAGTGCTCAGAGGGAAATTTATGGTGATAAATGCCTATATTAGAAAAGAAGAAAGAGGCTGGGTGCATTAACTCCCGCCTGTAATCCTAGCACTTTGGGAGGCAGAGGTGTGTGGATCGCCTGAGTCCAGGAGTTGGAGACAAGACTGCGCAACATGCTGAAACCCTGGCCCTACAAAAAAATGCAAAAGTTAGCTGGGTGTGGCACACCTATAGTCCCAGCTACTTGGCAGGCTGAGATGGGAGGATTGCTTGAGCCCAGGAGGTTGATGCTGCAGTAATTGAGGACCCACTTCACTCCAGTCTGGGTGACAGAGTGAGACCCTGTCTCAAAAAAAAAAAAAATGCTCAAATAACCTATTATTACATTTTAGGAAACTAGATAAGAGCAAGTGAAACTCAAAGCAAGCAGAAAGAAAGATAAAAATTATAATAAATGAAAGAGCATACAAAAATGCTATAGAAAATAAAAACAAAAGCCAAAAGTTGATTCTTTCAAAGACCAGCAAAATTGGCAAACTTTTAGCTAAACTAAAGAAGGAAACATCAAGACTTAAATTACTAAATTCAGTAATGAAAGAGGAAACATCCCTACTGACAATAGAGAAATAAAAAGGTTATATGGGAATACTACAAAGAACTATATGCTAACAAACTAGATAACTTATATGATAGGACAAATTACAGAAAGACAGGAACTACCAAAACTGACCTAAGAATAAATAGAAAATCTGAGTAGACCTATAACAAGTGGAGAAATGAAGTTAGTAACAGTAATAATTTTTAAAACACTACCCAATAAGAAAAATCGAAGTCCAGAAAGCTTCCCTGGTGATTCTACCAAGCAACTCAAGAATAATTAGTGCTCATTCTTGACAATCTCTTTTAAAAAAAAATAATAACATCATAAAGTGGGCGAAGGATATGAACAGACACTTGTCAAAAGAAGATATTTATGCAGCCAACAAACATGAAAAAAAACTTGTCATCACTGGTCATTAGAGAAATGCAAATCAAAACCACAATGAGATACCATCTCACACCAGTTAGAATGGTGATCATTACAAAGTCAGGAAACAACAGTTGCCGGAGAGGATGTGGAGAAATAGGAACACTTTTACACTGTTGGTGGGACTGTAAACTAGTTCAACCATTGTGGAAGTCAGTGTGGCGATTCCTCAGGGATCTAGAACTAGAAATACCATTTGACCCAGCAATCCCATTACTGGGTATATACCCAAAGGATTATAAATCATTCTACTGTAAAGACACATGCACTCATATGTTTATTGTGGCACTGTTCACAATAGCAAAGACTTGGAACCAACCCAAACGCCCATCAATGATAGACTGGATAAAGAAAATGTGGCACATATACACCATGGAATACTATGCAGCCATAAAAAAGGATGAATTCATGTCCTTTGCAGGGACATGGATGAAGCTGGAAACCGTCATTCTCAGCAAACTAACACAAGGACAGAAAACCAAACACCACATGTTCTCACTCATAAGTGGGAGCTGAACAATGAAAACACATGGACATAGGGAGGGGAACATCACACACCAGGGCCTGTCAGAGGGTGGGGGGCTAGGGGAGGGATAGCATTAGGAGAAATACCTAATGTAGATGATGGGTTGATGGGTGCAGCAAAACCACCATGGCATATGTATACCTATGTAACAAACCTGCACGTTATGCACTTGTACCCCAGAACTTAAAGTATAACAAAAAAAAATGATGCAATGGACTTTGGGGACCTGGGGGAAAGTGTGGAGAAGACGAGGGATAATAGACCACAAATAGGGTGCAGTATATACTGCTTGGGTGATGGGTACACCAGAATCTCACAAATCACCACTAAAGAACTTACTCATTTAATCAAATACCTCCTGTACCCCAATAACATGAAAAATAAAACGAATTAAAAAATGGAAAAAAAGTAAAATCATTGGCTGATCTAAAAAAAGCAACGTTAAAAAATTAAAAATAAATAAAAATAAAAATCTGAGAGAACACTTCTCAACTCATCCTGTGAGGCCAGTATTATCCTGACACCCAAACTAAAGACATCATAAGTAAAAAAGCACAATATTGTTTATGAATATAGATGCAAACCTTTTTAATAGTAGCAAACCATACCCCCCAACATACAAAAAGATTATAAAACATGACCAAGTGTAATTATCCCAGAAATAAAAGGTTGGTTTCCCATCTGAAAATCAATTAGGGTAATACATCATATTAATAGGATATAGGACAAAAACCGCATGATCGTCTCCATAGACACAAAAGCATATCTATCTCCAAAATTCTAAAATTTATATGGAACCACAAAAGACCCAAAATAGCCAAAGCTATCTGAAGCAAAAGAACAAAACTGGAGGAATCACACTACCTGACTTTACGTTACACTACAGAGCTATAGTAACCAAAACAACATGGTACTGGCATAAAAACAGACTCATAGACCAATGTAACAGTATGGAGAAGCCAGAATCCAACACTCTTTCATGATCAAAAAAAGAAAACACTTTAAAAACCAAACATGCAAGGGAACACTCTCAATCTAATAAAGGGTATCTATGAAGAAAAACACAACTAACATAATAATCAATAGTATGAAAGATTAAACATATTCTCGCAAATCAAGGACAAAACAGAAATTTTTGTTCTCATCATTTTCATTTAACATTGTACTATGGGTTCTAGCCAGAAAAATTAGACAAGAGAAGTAAAAGACATACAGAGCAGTAATGAAGACAGATTAGAAAGGAAGATATAAATTTATCTCTATTCACAGTTGGCATATTTTTATATTAAAAAATCTTAAGGATTACAGTAAAAAACTATTAGAATTAATAAGTTTAGCAAGGTTACATGGTACAAGATCAATATGCAAAAATCAATTGTATTTTTTTCACACTAGCAATTAACAACTTAAAAATGGAATTAAGAAATCAATTCCAGTTTCAATAGCACCAAAAAGAAGAAAATACCTATGGAGAAGATATTTATAAAACACAAATATCAGATAAGACTGCTATCCAGAAAATGTAAAGAGCTTTTACAAGTCAATATCAAGAAAAAAAAATCTGACTTTTTAACAATGGGTAATAAATTGGAAGAAACATTTCATCAAATAAATTACACAAATGGAACAGTCATCATTCAGGGCACATCATAAGTCAATAGGGAAGTGCAATTTACAACTACAATGAGAAACCACCACACCTACTAGAACAGCTGAAATTACGATGAATGCAGTACCAAGTGTTGGCAGGGAACGGGGGCAACTGAAACTCTCATACATTGCTTGTGGGAAAGCAAACGGTACAGCTACTTTAGGAAACAATTTGAACATTTTTTTATCATCAGATACCTGCCATATATCCCATCAATCTTCATCCTAGATATTTGTCCAAGGAAAACAGAAGCATGCATTGAAGTAAAAATAGCCTAGGTGTCAATCATCAGGGTAAAGAATAAACAAATTGTGAGATATATAAATATATATACACCATATATATATATATATTCCAGATATATATATATTCCAGATATAAATATATTCCAGATATATATATATTCCAGATATAAATATATTCCAGATATATATATATTCCAGATATATATATTCCAGATATATATATATTCCAGATATATATATTCCAGATATATATATATTCCAGATATATATATATTCCAGATATATATATATTCCAGATATATATATATTCCAGATATATATATATTCCAGATATATATATCATTGTTTCCATTGAGATATACATATATTTCCATTGATATATATATATCCATTGATATATATATTCCATTGATATATATATATTCCATTGATATATTCCATTTATATATATATCAATAGAATATCATTCAGCAATTGAAAGAATAAACTACTGACATAAGCAATGACATGGATAAAGTTCAAAAATATGCTAAGTGAAAGAAGCCAGACAAAAAGGATTGCACTGTAGTTGTAGAGAGACCAGGGGCTGCTAGTCAGGAGCCACATGTAGACGGAAGGCATTAGCTGCAAATGTACATGTGGGAAATACTGGGATGAGGAAAATGTTCTATATCATAATTATGGCAGTAATTACACATTTGTCAATTAACTTATCAAACAAAGTAGATAAATTTTATGTTATCACATTATACTTCAATAATGATGAAAATAAGCACATTATCTTACAGGCATGTCTTATGTCTAAATCAAAGAAAAATATTAATTGAAACCTTAAAATGTATTTAAACTTTAGTACAAAATAATAACAGTAATTGATATATAAAATTTATTTCTACTGGATTATAATGTTCATATCTGATTAACTCACCACATAATTTTGTTTTTGCTTTTTAAAATAAAAATTACTTGGTTATTTCTCTAATCCATCATTAAACAATATATACATCCCTTATTGTTTTTCCCAATTTAAATAATGAAAATTAAAACAGAAGTCGAGATGAGTATCGACTTGCATTTATTTTTTAGAAAGCAGTGGAAGACATTAAAAATTGATTTCTGAAATTCAGTGTGAACTTTATTATTTTCCTTTGCGAATGTTTTAACACATTTTTTAACTTGTCCTTTTGTAAAGGTATAAAAGTACATTGAAAATCTGTTTATAAAGGAATAGCTTCTTTAAGTATATTCACTTTTCAACTCACTTCATCTTTATAAATACCCTATCATCTCTAAACACACACACACTCCACATACATACACAATTAAAGTCTAAATTTATCTTCAAGGGTAAATTTGGTAAGTTTTATTCATTGTTTTTGAAGCTTCAATAATTACCTGGAAACTTAAAATCACCTCAATAGAGAATTAAGGTTTCAAGAAAAATCTCTACTGAATATTCCATAAGATAAAGTATTCCTGTGTAAATTAATAGTTCAATTAATAACTTATTTTTTTTCTGAAGTGGAAAACTTACTGCTCCAGGAATTGCACCTCCATCTAGTCAAAAGAATGCAAAAACAATCTTTTCCTTTTCTAGGAAATTAATTGCTCCATATTTTCAATGTTTGTAAGGTCGTGGCTGATAATCTATGAATATTCTGAGTACATAGGATCTAAATAGATTTGGTAGGTGAAATAGGCATAATTTGTGACTTATGGGCTTCTAAATTTCACATGCTTCACCCCTTAAAATCTAGATTTCCACTGTATTTTTAGTACATCTCCCCTCAACAAATAATTATTTACCATTGTTTTCCTTGAAATATTGAAATCACCTTTGAAATGTGTTTCCTAGACAAAATAAAATTGGCAAGGCATTATTAGCCACTAATAGCCAAATAAAAATTTGTTTATAAAGATTAGCATCCACAAAAATCTTCAGTGCACAAAACAAGATACAGGATGAAGGAAACAGACAGCAATGTAACTGATGACCCAAACCTTTGCATTTTGGCTTCTTTCCCAAATAGCCTACTCTATTTCTTAATAATGATGTGTGTTTTTCAACATTAATCCTCATGCTCCTTTCAAAGCCTTCCCTCTTTCAACAACCCTCCACCCCACTGCTGCTCCTTAAGAATTCCACACCATTTGGAATTGTCAGCCAATCTTGTTTTTAAATTTGCATTTCTTATTGCAGCTATTATTTCTGATATTCTTTCTCAGTCTTCGACCATTTCTCTTTCCTTACTTGTTCCTAATCCTATTGTTGCTTAAAAAAAAAAAAAAGTAGGCATTGCCCAAGGTTTTGTCCACAACTTGCTAGCTTTCTCTAAATCTACCTTGTGTAGCCTGATCATTTTAACACTGTGACTATCATACGATGTGAATGACTCCAAAATGTATAGTTCCCAAGATAACCATTCTTTCTTGTTGTATTATGATATTTCCTACCACCTGTAAGACATTTATATCTTGAAGTACCACAGGTTATTTCAAATTCTTCATGTAAAAATGAAAGTTAATAATTTCTGTAGTCCCTGATCCTGAATATTTTTCTTTTTTCCCTCCATTATACCACAATTCCTCTGAGCATTCATACTCAAAATCCTAGCATTAAAGTTCCTTTCTCACAATCTGTCACTAAGTCCCATGGAAGTGATGCCACTTTTATCCTCTCTCATTCCATTTCTAGGACCACTTTCCCCTTTCAAGTACTCATCTGAACTGTTGTATTAGCGTTCTGGCTTGTATTTCTACATCCAGCTTCCTTAATCTACAATCAAAACAGTACATAGTCACAAGATTAAATCTCTACTTGTGATATTCATCAAAAAGAATGCAGTGGCATCCTGTTTTTAATGAATAAAGTGCTAGCTTCCTTATTGGACATTAGGGGATATTCAATATTGGGTTCCCATCTAAGTTCTTAGCCTTGTCTCATTCTACTCATCCATCTTCATCACAACCAACCTGGGTAACTCAAATCTTTGAGGATATTGATATCCAATCCTTCGTACTATTGCAAGCATGGGTTCTTGTAGTTGAAATCCTACCCTTATTTGCAGATTTAATTTAAATGGGACTTTCTTCATGAAACTTCCCTTATTCTCCAACCAGAAAGGGTCTCTCCCAGCACAAATAACACACTTTTCATAGATATTTACAGCAATACCTTCTGCGCCAGAGGATTTGTGTGTCTAATCTTCACTACTATTTTACAAGCTTCTGAAGGTAGATAATCTTATTTTTGTGCCTCCTATCTAGGTAATAACATAGATGATCAATAAATTAACTGTTTAAGTAAATCACTAAAGAGGCCAAGAGGATCTGTGATAGTAAGTAATCAATACAAAAGACTGGAGTTACTTATATAATAGCAACAAATCATACTATGTGTCTAACATGCTAACAGCAGTGCTCTAGGAGCTGTTAAACAAATTTTAACAAAATAATTTGAAGTGACTGATTATGGTACACTAGATGAGATCTTATCATTCTTGCGGATCTGATATTTTATAATTCTGTGAAATGCCAGCAATGCTATTTGGTAGATAAAAGGAAAAAATACATATGACATTAGGCTCTCCCTTCCTCAAAAATTTGTCCACAATTTCCATAAAGTTCATTTTGTGAATAATTCTCAAGTGTGTAAAGTGCACTTGAGATTTCCAAATGAGACCACCAGAAACATTCACCCAGTTTATAAGAATTTTCAGTTTACTTCTTTTTCCAGTTTTGCTTATACAAATGATGAGAGGGAGTAAAAGTACAAGAGCCAGGCTGAGTTCATCTAATGGAAGACTTATGGTACCTTGTGGGAAGCAGAAAGTGTTGCTTAAATTTAGGTGCTCTGAAGTTAGACTGCCTGGCTTCTAATAGATGATTCAGTATTACCTAGCTTTATGGCAATGGTCAGGTTACTTCGTGTTTCCAAGCCTCAATTCGGTAAGATAGGAGTAACAAGAGAACCCATGATGTTGACAGGAATATTAAATAAGTTAACAATACTAAGGACTTAGCATGCTACCTGGCATATAGTATGCCTTAAAAATTCTCACCTATTATTTTTTCAGTTTTCTTTTTTGTGTGCTAATTTGTCTGTTTACTTTTTATAATTACCAAAATACAGATATGTGAAAATTAAGAAGAGAAAGGTCTCTGAAAACCTAATCAATCTTGAGAAAATCATGCTAAAATTCTGGCATGTATTATTTCCTTTCCTATTTTGTCTGCATCTTTAAAAAATATCTGTCACTGTCTCTCTGGTAACAACTCACTGTAAAGTCCAGATGTTCAAAGAAAATATAAACTCGATTATTCTATACAATGAATCTAGTCTGGTCTTCTTCATGCCCCTTCACCAGTTGGTTTGTAGGAATAAAACAAGTAATGTTCAATCTGATGTACAGCTTAGTCTCGTTCCATACTTTAAGTAGGTTTGCCTTTTGCTTTAGCAGTTTTGAACATCCCTCAGTACATGTAATCTGTGCTCAGACTCTCCTAGGAAAAAAATAATGCTCATTCACTCAGTTTTCTCAGGTTTCACTTCTCCCAACCCAGCTTAGGTCCAAGATGGAATTTTTATATGAGGATTTGGAGGGAGAAGGGTGGTTTTGATACACTCCTCACAGTGTAGAGAAGTGTGAAGGTTATCCGGCTTCTACCTCCTCTGGCCTCTTGTCATGTTCCTTGCCCAGTCAGATGCTGCTTGCCCTGCTGGCATTTGTGAATAATGTTTGTGGCTGGTGAGATTATGATTGACTCCTATGTCTTGGACAGTTCTCAGGGATCGTCAGTATCATCTGCATTTGCTTCATTTTCAGAGGCTACATATTTATATTATAGCATGTATGTTGACTCTCATTTAATCTCTGATGATTGTTTGTATATAGAAAAGTTAATGGTTTTGTAATAATTTAAAATCTCATTAAACTCTATTATTATGTACATAACAGTTTTATTTTTAGTTTATTTTCTTGGATTTCCACCAAGACTGTTAGTATAGCTTTTACCGAGAGGATCCTAGAGCCAGCAGGAGTATCAGGTGAATAGGTCTTTTATTGCCTTTTTTATTCTAGGATAGAAAGTGGGATCTGGCAGAGTTGAACCTCAGATTCTGAGAAAGTAACCCCAGATCTTGAGCTATAAATCTTTAAACTGCAATGCTTAAGGAGATACCAGCTTGTCTAATGGTAGGATAAATATACTGGAAATCAAGCTTTGAAGCTGCAGCTGACAGTGAACCTGTGACCATCACCACAGACATATCTGCTTTCCATAGACCTTTCTAGGATCCTGCAGGTAATCAGCCTTAATTGTTACCTCTCACATAACGTCTGAAAATAATTTTTTTTCTTTCTTGTTTTAAACATTTTTGCCTCTTCCTTTGTGTGTTGCTTAATTGGATTGGCTAGTATCTGCAAGAAAATGTGGGAAAAAAAAAAAAACAACGGTGCTAGGGCAATAATTTTCTCATTTCTAAAACTGTCATCACTGATCACCTGAGAATCATATACATTGATATAATTGCTCTCTCTGTGTCTATATTTGTATATTTATAAATTGACTTTCATATGTTTCCCAAATGAATTTATCTGATTGTTTTTCCCAGGTGATATTTAACTTACTGCTTTATCATTTCTATTTCCTACAAACTGGAAATTAGATTTAGAGGCTTAAAAAAGGCTTCTGAAGTATTGTTTGAAGTTTTTGAGGTTTTTTTTTAATTAATTTGAGGTGTTTGGCGTTTTTACTAAATAATAAATACAAGGAGTTTTATCAGGAACAAAGATGGAATTATATCAAAGGCTTTTCCTATCAGAATAATTATATAGTTTTTATCTTTGAATTTAACTATAAGAAATTATAGTTAATCTTTGAATTTAACTATAAGAAATTATACTATGTGTCATAGTCACATAGTGTCATGACAAGAAATAGAAAGCAGAACTTTCTTTTGGCTCTTTTGGCTCTTTTGATGGGATTGTTTATTTCCCATAAACATCAGATGTTACATGTTGGGTTTAACAAAGTTTAACCATTGCAATTATCAGAACCTGGTGATTTTTTTTTTTTTAGGTATAGTTCTTAGACAATCTCATGAGTTTTGACCTCTGCTTACTTATATTTTTGTATTTTATGTTTTCTTTCCCTTCTTTGGCCCATTTTAAATAGTGTAATTTTCATAATATAGTTTATCTATCTAGATTTATTAATTTATTAATATAGAATTAAGAGAAACAGTAAAATATTCTCTTAAAATTCTTTAACTTCATCAGCATTTATTTTTTCATTTCTCATATCTAATGTTTTCCTGATTGTGCTGCATTTTCTTTTCCTTTGAATGGGAAAGTCAGTGATTCAATTATTTTTCCCCAAGAAGGGGCTGTGAGCAATCATACCATTTTTCTGTTCCTAATTCATATATTTACCTTTTAATTTTCATTAGTTTTGTTCTTTGTGTTCCCAGAATTGTTTTATGTAACTTATGAATGTGAATATTTCACTTGAAATTTCATTTATTTTTTGAAGTAAAAAAAAAATTTGAGATCTTCTTATTGTCATTATTTTAAAAATACTCCTCAACTGTGATCCATAAGCTCCTTTTGCCCCAAGAGTTTGTCAGAAAATAATGTTATTAAAATGTCAAATATGGCTGGGCATGATGGCTCACGCCTGTAATCCCAGCACTTTGGGAGGCTGAAGTGGGCAGATCACTTGGGATCAGGAGTTCGAGACCAGCCTGGCCAATATGGTGAAACTCCATCTCTACTGAATAATACAAAAATTAACCAGACGTAGTGGTGTGCTCTTGTAGTCCCAGCTACTTGGGAGGCCACAACAGGAAATGCTTGAACCTGGGATGTGGAGGTTGCAGTGAGAAGAGCTTAAACTACAGCACTCCAGCCTGGGTGACAGAGCAAGACTCCATCGTAAAAGAAAAAATAGTCAAATACTTTAGGGGTTTTTGTTTCTAAATTTAGCATTTATTTTTCTCAGTATTAAATTGTGGTTTCAGAACATGACCTGAAGTACTTTTCTTCTTTGGAATTGAGTATTTCTCTTTGGCTGCTGTGTGAATACATTTTTGTAAAATGTTCCAGGGGCTGTTTAAAAATAAAATTTTGTTTGCAGATTATAGCTTTTAATATATTATTTATTGAATAGAATATATTTATATTTCACTATATTTAGACTACTATGTAGGGACAACTTTTACACACATAATATTCCAAGGACAAAATCTGATTTCTTAATTTTTTCCCTCCTGTTGCTGTTGCATATGTTTCTCATTTCAGTTTCTGCAATGTTTTTTTCAGGTATTCTGATGTCAGGTTAGTTGTTACATAAAGGCTTATTAAGAAATTGTTTAGTTTATAATTTTAAAGGAATTCTATTTTCATTTAATATTTTCAAAATTGTATCTTATGTAATTTTGATAAATTCTCCCTTCTTTTTATTTACATTTGCTGATTGTGTCTTTACCCACTATTTTAAGTTTTCTGAGTCACTTTGAACGTTTTATTAACATGGATTTGGATTTACTTATGAGCCCATATGGGATTATTGTGCATTTAATAGATAAAGTCCTTCCACTTGCATTTTCAGTTATGGTTTGTTTTTATTGCCCACAGGAGGAAAGACCGTTTTTAATATTGTTAGAGACTATGTTTATACTTTTAAATGACTGAGTTAGGTGCCTATATATTAATATACCATCTTCAGAAAAATTATCCAGAGAGGTAATCCTCTGCAAGAAACAGAACTGAATGAAAGTCAGCACACTGCCTGTCTTTCCTGCAACTTTCTAGTCCCAGCTCTTGTGGCTGTATTTGAAGTTTTGTCTTAGTCTGGTATTTTCAAACCCTAAGTATCTTAAGATGTATTTCAAGAATCATCCTTTTTGCAACAGTATTAACCACATAATTACAGAATGTATTCACATTATTTATTTTTTAAAAGAATTTTGTGCTTGCCTTTGGTGTTTCTACCCATGAACATTCCTATTTGTGAGTTATATTTTTAATGTACTTTAGGAATATGTAACATATTCCACTATTCTGAACTTCAAAAATCAAGTTCATGTAGCAAAAGTCTGACCTTTACCCCTGGCCCCTGAGTCAGTTCTTTTCTTCACAGATAATAGGATGAGTTGTATGTGTGAGTGAGCGGGGGGTGTATACTTCCAAGGATAATGTATCCCTGTGGAGACTCCTCCACAAACTGGTTGTGTGATGGGAGTCAAGTTACTTAACCTATCTGAGCTTCAGTTTTTTTCATCCTTTCATAAAGAACCCTTCATTTCATCAGCAAACATTTAGTGTCAGCGTGTCTCTTTCTGACGTCATTCTATTAGCTTACCTTTAAAAAAATTGGTATTGCATTGTATTCGTCTAGTTCTCATGCTGCTAATAAAGACATACTGTGACTAGGTAATTTATAACAAAAAGAGACTTAATTGACTCACAGTTCCACATGGCTGGGGAGGCCTCACAATCATGGTATAAGACGAACGAAGAACAAAGGACCTTCTTACGTGGCGGCGGCCATGAGAGAGAGTCAAGCGAAAGGGGAAACCCTTATAAAAACATCAGATCTCGTGAGACTTACTTACTACCTTGAGAACAGTATGGGGGAAACTGCTCCCATGAATCAATTATCTCCCACCGGGTCCTTCCCACAACAGGTGGGAATTGTGGGAGCTACAATTCAAAATGAGAATCAGGTGGGGGCACAGCCAAATCATATCATGCATTAAATGTGTAGATTAATTTAGTGATAATTGACATATTTATGGTTTTATTCTTCCAATCCAAGTACTTGCTATTTCTCCTTATTCAAGAAAGTTTTACCAAAAAATGTAATCACATATTAGCCAAATAAAAATATTCATTTAATTCCAAAGAGAAAAAGTACTTCAGTTTATATTCTGAAAACAGTTAAGTAAAGTGAAAAATAAATGCCACATTTAGAAACGAAGAGCCCAAATCTTGTGCTGGGTGCTGAAGGTAAAGCAGTGAACAAGACTGGTATATTGCTTACGGTCTAGGGAAAGGAGTGACGGTACCTGCCTTACAGGGAGATTTTGACAAGAGTGGATAGGAAGTGCTTTCTAAGTATTAGTCAACTATCACATATACATTCTTCATTCATTCTTTTTTTACACCAGTAATGCCTCAATGTTATACATCTTGTTGTATTTTCTTTTTAAATCAGGTGGTCTTTCCATACCCCCACATAAAGACTTTTCTCGTTATGCTTTATAGCTATAGTATCCATAGTGTGATGTACGATAATTTCATTACCTAGTTCTCTACTGATAAACATTTTGATGTTTTTGTAATATTTTGCTATTAAAAAAGGATAGCTGCAATGAATAATCCTTTCACTTGATACATAATAGAATACGTTGCAGAGGTGGGATTGCTGGGTATTAAGGTATGCGCTGTGTAATTTTCATAGACCTTATCCCTCACAGGGATTATGCTAATTTATATTCTCACAAGCAAAAAACCAGAGTAGCTTTTCTTCTCACCCTCATCCACAGATTAACTATTAACCTTTTGTATCCTTGGTAACCTGAAATGTGACAAATAGTATCTCACTGTAGATTTATTCTTTATTTCTCTTATTAAAGAGATAGTTTGGTTTAGAATCTCTCCCCATATCAAAAATTCAAATTGTCTTTTCTTTGCTATCTTTTTATAATACTTTGAATTTTTTTCTATTTATTTGTTGGTCCCTATTTTTCCAATTCGTAGAAGTGTTCTATATATTAAGGAAATTAGACTTTGTCTCAGTTACAAATAGCTTTTACCAAACTTGAGGTTAGAACTGAGTTTTGATGAATTTTGTCTTTCTTTTTCATTGGCATTATTATGTTTAAGTAGTAGAAAGTTTATATCATTTCCCTTATGGCTTCTGGGATTTTCATTATTATTAGAAAGGCCTTCCCTATTCTGAGATTACAACATTTTTAACAATGATTTCTATACTACTTCTATAGCTTTATTTCTATTTTTTTATTCATTGAAATATACCCTGATATGAAATGAGACGTGGAAGAAAACTTTAGTCCAGATTACAACCAAAATGTCATAACGTGATTTCGTTTTAATAAACAATCTTTTCATTACTGTCTAAAATGCTGTCTTTTTCATTTTGTAAATTTCCATATGCATTTGGGCCTATTTCTGGAATTTTAATTTGATTCTATTGATGTGTTTATTCATAAGCAATATCATACTGCTTTAATTATTGAGGCCTAATAATATTCTTTAAGATCTAGTAACACCCCCATTACTCTTCAGAATTTCCCTGGTTATTCCCGCTTGTTTTTGTTTCCATATGTATTTTGCAATCAGCTTTTCTCTTTCCAACATCATTCGATTAGCTTGCTTTTTTAAAAAATGGGATTGCATTAAATGTGTAGATTAATTCAGGAATAATTGACATATTTATGATTTTGTTTCTTTCAATCCAAGTACTAGGTATTTCTCCTTGTTCAAGAAAGTAGTATGCCTTTCCATTTGTTCAAGAATTCTTCTGTGGCTCTCTGAATCATCTCAAAATTTTCTTGTAAAAAACATTGCCCTTTTATTGTCAAATTTATTACTAAATGAGGTAGGCAGATGCCCTCCCCACTAAGGATGTTCACCTCTTAAAGCTCAGAAACTATGAGTATATTAGGAGGTTCCATGGAAAAGAGAATTGAGATTGCAGATGGAATTAAAATCACTAATCAGCTGACTTTGAGATATAGAGATTATCCTGAATTATTCAGGTGAGCCCAGTATAATCACAAGGCTACTTACAAGTTGCACTTGCAGAAAAGAGAGTTACTAGTACAAAAAGAACTTAGTCTGAAGTGGGTTTGAAGAGTGAGGAAAGGGCTGTGAGCCAGGTAGTGTGGGCAGTCTGCTTAGAAACTGTAAAAGACAAGGAATGTGTTTTCCCCCAGAGCTTCCAGAAGGAATGCAGTCCAGCTGACACTTTGATTTTAGTTCAGTGAAAATTATTTTGGACTCCCAACATCCAGAACTGTGAGATAATTAATTTATGTTGTTTTAACCCCTATATTTGTGACAATTTTTTTCAGCAGCCATAAAAAAGTAATATACCAAGCATCCTGTCTTTTATTGTGGCCAATATAAATAAGGTTTTGTATTCCATTATATCATCTTATTTTTTGTGTTAGTGGAGGCTACTAATTATTGTATATTTATTTTTGTACCTTACCAGCTTACTTCTCTTATTACTAGTGGTTTTTAGTTGAGTTTTTCAGATTATATAATCATGTTGTCATATAGCAATACACTTTTACCATTTTTCCCAATATTTGTAATTTTTTTCTCTTGTCTAAATATGTTGGTTAGTTCCTCCAGACTGCATTCAATTAATCATGGCGATAATGGAGACATGTACCTTGTTCCTGGCTTATGAGAGAATGCTTCTAAATTTTTTTTAACAAGTATTCCTCTAGCATTTTTATTGAGATGCTTATTTTATCATGTTGAGATAATATTTATCTGTTCTGAATTTATTTGTAAGAATTTATATCAAGAATAGATAATAGATTTTGGAAAATGATTTTCAACATTTATGGAAACGATGATATAATGTTCCTTCATAGATCAATTCATTTTAGTCATTATTGAACTAGCCTTTCATTTCTGGAATAAATGCCATTTGGCAATAGCATATAATTACCGTAATGTTTTGCTCACGATGTAGGAATTTTGTTTCTATATTCATAGTGAGATTGGTTTGTAGTTTTTTTTATATATATATAACACTTTCCTATTTTATTCATGTTATTTTCACTTCATTACAGATTTTTTTTTTTTTTTTTAAGATAGAGTCTCACTCTGTCACCCAGGTGGGAGTGCAGAGTGCAGCAGCACCATCCCGGCTCACTGTAACCTCCACCTCCCAGGTTCAAGTGATTCTCCTGCCTCAGCCTCCCGAGCAGCTGGGATTACAGGCACCCGCCACCACGCCCAACTAATTTTTGTATTTTTAGTAGAGACAGGGTTTCACCATGTTGGCCAGGCTGGTCTTGAACTCCTGACCTCAGGTGGTACACCCTCCTTAGCCTCCCAAAGTGCAGAATTTTGATGTGTCTTGTAACAGTTTAAATAATCCTGGAAGTGTTTGTTATTAAAGGCTTAATTAAATTCTTCTGGGAAACTTAGTGTAGCCTGTTGCTCTTTTGTGTGTATATTTTGGTTAATTATATTTTCCTACTAAAAAATCAGTTTGTCAATAGTTTTTAATAACTTTGAATACAGTAGATCAAGGTAATCTTTTATGAGCATTTAAATTTTCTGTATTTAGGGTTACTTTTCTCCTCCATTTTGGGTTTTGTACGTGCTCTTCCATTTTTTCTCAGTCAGACTAGTTAACACTTTATCTGCTTTACTTGTTTCAATGAACTTTTGCATCTATTTATTGGGTCCACTTTTCTATATGTTTTAAGTCATTAATTTCTGCCTTTGTTAATTAATGTCTTGCTAATCATTTCAAGTTTTGTATTACTGCTCTTTTCCTGCATTTTCAGTTGAATCCTGATTCAGTTATACTGTTTTCATTTATTCATATGTTTATGTAAAAATACAAATTTTTCTCTAAGATCTGCTGTGGCTCTACTCTAAAGCCTCTCCTCAGTGTGTTCCCATTTTTATAATTTTCTAGATGTTGTACCATTTAGGATTAGGTTTTCTCTTAAAGCAAAAATTGAGGAAAGAAAAATTTTGATTTTTTTTATTATTTGTTTAATTTACAGGAAAGAGTAACTTTCTGTATATTTTATAAATATCTAGATCTACAACTTTGTTCACCATGTGCGACATTTAAATGTTTTCTTAAATCAATGCTTTGCAATCAAGCATTCCCATGACGCCTATACATGACCTATTTTTATAAAATGTGATATATTTCAAAGTCTAATTATGCCATTTGGGTCTTTGATAACTTTACATAATTTTGCTGACATCTGTAGTGGACTGAAGCTATGAATTAAAATCCTTTACTGTGAATGATATCTGATCGTTTTTTCTTGTATCTTCTGTAATTTCTACTTTCTACATTATGATGTTAAGAGTTTGTTTATTCATAACTGGTAGGTCTCCTTCATTATTAATCACATACCTAAGCCTTGCTTCTTTTCGCCTCAACTAATTCTTTACATACCTGATTTTGCAAACGACAGAAAGTAAAGTCATAACTCTGCTTTTTTTTGGTTTGTTCATTTGCATTTGCCTGTCATACCTTTGCCCACAATTTTATTTTTTAAAATTTTTTTAAAAATATATTTTCTGTGAGATTAAACTGTCTAAATTACTTTGGAAGTCAATGATTTTGTAAACAGCATGGTATAAAGTTTTTTGTTTGTTTGTTTGTTTGAGACAGAAGACAGAGTCTCACTCTGCCGGCCAGGCTGGAGTGTAGTGGCAGGATCTTGGCTCACTGCAACCTCCGTCTCTCAGGCTCAAGCAATTCTCCTGCCTCAGCCTCCTGAGTAGCTGGGATTACAGGCGTGTGCCTCCATGCACGGCTAATTTTTGTATTTTTTTTTTTTAGTAGAGACAGGGATTCACCATGTTGACCAGGCTGGTCTTGAACTCCTGACCTCAGGTAATCCACCTGCCTCGGCCTCCCAAAGTGCTGGGATTACAGGCATGAGCCACTGGGCACGGCCACAGCATGGTATAAAGTTTTGCTTTGAAAATCTTTCTTCAATGATGTGTCTATTTATTTACAATTATTGATAAGATGATGTTTGGGGCTGGGTGCACTGGCTCACACCTGTAATCTCAGCACTTTGCGAGGCCGAGGCAGGCGGATCACTTGAGGTCAGGAGTTCGAGACCAGCCTGGCCAACATGTTGAAACCCTGTCTCTACTAAAAATACAAAAATTAGCCAGGCATATTGGCACATGTCTGTCATGCCAGTTATTTGGGAGGCAGAGGCAGGCGAATTTCTGGAACGCAGGAGGCAGAGGTTGTATTGAGCCGAGATCACACCACTACACTCCAGCCTGGGTGACAGAATGCGATTTCATCTCAAAAAAAAAAAAGATGTTGTTAGATTTTAATTGTCATTTTAGTTTGTGCTATTCTTTCTGATTTCACTGCTTTTAAAACATTTCACTATATCATCTTTTCAAATTTGTTCATGTGTTATGGTGTTTATGCTTCTAACTTAGTGTATAATCTTATCTAATTGCAGTTGACACTCCATTTTGTTAGATAATAAATACTAATTCCATATTATAATCAATAATAAATGTAGTGTTTCCCTTTTCGCTTCTCTTCTTGCCTTAGCCACCATCTTTAGTCAGTGAAAATCAATCAATATTTACCATATGACTTTAAATTTGGCTATATATCAATTTATTGATTGATCAATTTTAATTCTTTCCTTTGATCTCCAGTTACTAGCAATAAGGAAACCAGCATACTTTACATAACACCTTCTGTTCTCCTCTTTCCTAATTTTTGTTTTATTCATTGTTAGTGCATTTGGCATATATATTTTATTGTTACCTCATCCCTACTTTTTGTGTTACCTCATCCCTACTTTTTGTGTTATGAACGCATTTAAATTGTAAAAGGAACTTGTAATGTTCCACCAGTAACATTGTTATTTTCTATTTCAATAATGAGTTCCTTTTGTTTTAGCTGGGCTCGTGGTGATAGGCTCTATTTCCCAGCCTCTTTCACAGCTAACTATGCATTCCCAGCTCAGCACAAGCCAGGAGAATATGAACCACAGTGATGTGTCCTACTTCCAGGACATTTCATTAAAGAAGAAGTTGCCTGCTCCTGGTTTCCATACTCTTCTGGGAGCATGGATTGTGGATGGCACAGTCTAACCCCTGTAGATGAAGACTACATCCTGGGAGACATAAATACCTAGGTCCCTGAATGGCTTCTTAGAGTATAGCCACTGCATCAGCCCTGGACAATTCACATCTGAATTATTTGATGAAAACAGGACAAAACAAAGTTTTTATCCAATTTAGGTTACTGAAGTTAGTATCATTTTGTTACAATGGTTTAGCCTGTAATGGTGCTACTAAAAGAAATCCCGGCTGGGTGCGGTGACTCACACCTGTAATCCCAGCAACTTCAGGAGGCCGAGGCAGGAGGATCACTTGAGTCTAAGAGTTGGAGACCAGCCTGGGCAACATAGTGAGACCCTGTCTCTACAAAAATGTTTAAAAAAATAGCTGAGCATGTTGGTGCACACCTGTAGTCCCAGCTAATCAGGAGGATTAGCTGAGGCAGGAGGATTGCTTGAGCCTGGGGAGGTCAAGGCTGCAGCGAGCCGTGATGACCACTGCACTCCAGCCTGGGTAACAAAGCGAGACCCCGTCTCAGAAAATAATGACAATGAGAATAATAATAATAATACAGAAATTCAATGATTATCACTGATGCTTTTGCTGTAAATTTTCCAATCATCTCTTGATAAACTTGTCTTCTAGTAAATCCCTCAAAAAGAATTCATGGGATAAATATTTCTGAAGTTTGTGTAACTTCAAAACTGTATGCTAAGCTTCTAAACTTAATTTCTAGTTGACCAAAAATAAAAGAGCAGACAGCTTAAACAACACCAAATAAAACACTTCGATAATTCAGATTTGGAGAAAATATGAAAGTCAATTGTCCTGAATGCTTTGAAAGTGAATGCTATCACAAAAATTATTTAAAGCAGAAGAATTTTAGTTCTTAAAAAAACTAAACAGACAAAAATCCCCAACTGTAAAGCATTGATCTAACTAATTTTTATCATAGTCCCCTCCCACAAAACCTATAACATATATCATTGTGACAATTTAGAAACTTTTCACATAGACTGGATACTAACAGAAATTATGAAATCATTTTATTTGTCTTAGGTGTAATAGTGGCATAATGTTTTTTTGTTTTGTTTGTTTGTTTGTTTTGAGACGGAGTCTCGCCCTGTCGCCCAGGCTGGAGTGCAGTGGCACGATCTCCGCTCAGTGCAAGCTCCGCCTCCCGGGTTCACACCATTGTCCTGCCTCAGCCTCCCAGGTAGCTGGGCCCACAGGCGCCTGCCACCACGCCCGGCTAATTTTTTGTATTTTTTTTAGTAGAGACGGAGTTTCACCATGTTAGCCAGGATGGTCTCGATCTCCTGACCTCGTGATCCACCCACCTCAGCTTCCCAAAGTGCTGGGATTACAGGTGTGAGCCACCGCGCCCGGCCAATAGTGGCATAATGGTTGTGTAAAGGATTGTCTCATATATATACAAACACACACACACTTACACAGTGGGAGAGAAACAGCGAGGGAAAGAGAGAAAGAGAAAGTAAAACAGGTGAGTGAGGAAGAGAGAAAGAAGAGTAACAGGAAAGGAGGAAAAGGAAGAGGGAGGAAGATAGGGAATAAGATGAGGCTGGAGATAAAACAAATATGCCAAAAAGGTAACAATTATTAAATTCAGTTGAAGGATATATATGAATATTTATCAAATTATTCTTTATTTTTTTAATTCTAAAATAAAATTTGGGGAAATAAAAGAAGTGTTTAAAACACTCAAATGTACTATACCTTTATACTTAATTGACAGGTGGTTACACATTAGGGTTCATTCTGTTTCCTATAGTATTTTCTAGGTATTATTCTACCAACTGCATAAAAGGTTGTTGTAGAGAAGAGTAAATTGATGTGGTTTGTACATTGTATATTTTTATCTGGTTTTGCAATAAATTCTTCTTATACATTAAAAGGCAAATAACTTTTCTGGACTATGTCTTCTTGTTAATCCTTCTTGATTATTTTCTTCTGGGAACAACACAATATGTCCTTTCAGTTTGTAAGTTCAGGTTTTTGTGTCTCAAAAATAGTTAATAATTTATATCCTTAAATATCTGTTTTGTTTTATTATTTCTATTCTCCACAAAAGGTTGCAATTACATATATTACTTCTAAATCACTTTCAATTGGTCATTTTTCTTAATTGTAAAATTTTATATTAATATATTTTTCTATTTTATGCCTTTTTCCACTGTACATTTGGATTTTAGAATCCATTTTTCAATTAACTTCTTGTAATTTCAGCTTACTCTTTAATAATTTGGGTTTTTTTCTATACTACTTTCCTCAGCTCCACAAGCTGATAATTTTTATTGTCTCCAAATATCTTTCTGGAGCTTGGGAATTTTTGCTTTTTACCCTTACTTGATGGAGGAGTTAATGTATTAATTTTTTTAATTTATATGAAAAACATTCTCTTTTCGTTTGATTTCGTCTTAGTGCAGATCCTATGCTGGTGCCTGCAGGTATCACTGAAGAAGGTGAATTTTTCCTATACCAAATATTTGCCAGGAGTATGTGTCAGAAAGGGAAAAGAATAAAGCTTGAATTATTTTTATGATCAAGGTCTCTGGGTGTGACATTTCCCCCATGCAATGGAGACAGGCACTGTTGAGCCTTTTCTCATGCAAAGTTTCTTTCCAGGCTGCAGCAGAGAGGGTACTACTTGCATATGATTATCCATATGATTACTCATATAGTCTCAACTCTTCTGCTTCCTGGAACCATGAGTTAAGTAAAACTCATTCCAGGTATATCACTGTTTCTGCTGCTGAAAATAAGAAACGTGGGTTTATGGCCTAGCATGTTCTTCATTTTGCTGCTGTGTTTTTTGCTAGCTGTTTCTCTGAGCTGAAGCTCTCTAATGCCAGTTCTACATCATCATGTATTGACTTCTTCCTACGCTCCACTGCACAATCTTTGCTGTAAGCCACCTTCCCACATATCTTGTGATCTAGGGTTTTACTGTCTTCCAGTTTCAGCAGACATGGTATTTCTATTTTGCATTCATTGTTTCCCTGGGTGCTTTTGAATGACTTATAGAAGATAATGGGAAAATGCTAATATTATAATGTTCAAACAAAAAGATCTATTCTTTTTTATTTTTGACTATATATTACATATATACTTGTTAAAATATATTAAAATATAAAATATATTTTTTAAAAACTATATATATATAAAGAGAGAGAGAGACTGACTTACTCTGTCACCCAGGCTGGAGTTTAGTGGCAGAAACACAGCTCACGGCAGCATCAACCTCCTGGGCTCAAGTGATCCTCCCATGTCAGCCTCCCGAGTGTGTGAGACCACAGGCAGGCACCACTACACCCAGCATTTTTTTTTTTTTTTTGTAGATACAGGGTCTTCCTGTGTCACTCAGGCTGCTCTGAAACTCCTGGCCTCAGGTGATCCTCCCGCCTTGGCCTCCAAAAATGCAGGATTACAAGCCTGAGCCACCGCACCCAGCCTTCATGTATATGTTTAATATAGCTAGGTTAGGTCTTCAGGAAGACATTTTCATAATAGTTAATAAATTATATAAATTATATACACCCTGAGCCATATTTAAACAAATATTCCTGTAATCTTTATACATGAAATCTCTGTGTACAGACTAGAATTTTACTACACAACGTAATTTCTCCTCATAACTTCAAAGAAAGCACTTTGCTTCCTGTTCTTCAACATTACTATGTAGAAACCTCAGACCAGCCTGCATTTTCCTTCAAATGTTTCTTCTTCTGGAATGCTTATATTGTTTTTTCTTAACCTTAAACTTCAATATCCTTACCAAGTTGTTTCTGTCTATTGTTCTCTATTAATTCTTTATTAATTCTTACCATATTTCTAGTAACCCTTTTTGATCTACGTGACAAATTTTTGTATTTTTGAAAATCACAACAATATCATCCATCCCACATGTTCTTCTTAAAGTGGGGCATAGTCACTCATAAAGAGGTGGGGCGTATGTTTCCTCACCTGAAATGTGGATAGGTCTCTGATCAACGAAGATGTTCCTCTAAGTGACTTTTGAGGACACGTTACAAAAACATCATGTATATCTGCCTTGTTCTCTCAAAACATTTGCTCTTGGAAGCCTAAAGTCACAGGTAAGCAGTTCAAGTGTCCCAAGGCCCTGATGCTCGGAGGAGACCCAAACTAGCTCATGGTGAGACCACATGGAGAGGCCCTAAGACCTGTCCATGAAGAGAGAAAGATGCCTGGCCCCAGCTGTCCCAGCTCCGCCTACCACATGAAAGTCTCTGAGCTAGAACCACCCAGGAAATCATGCGATATTTTTTTAAAGTTGTTATTCTTTTAAGCTTTAAATTTGGGGGTGACTCTTTTTTTTATGTTTTGTAGTTCTCCTTGTAGACGTATTTCACCTCCTTTTTAGATATACTTTATTTTGTGTATAGTTATTGTAAATGGCATCATGTTTTTTATTTGGTTCTTAGCTTGAGCATTATTGGTGTATAGAAATGCTACTAAATTCTGGCTAGGCACAGTGGCTCATGTCTGTAATGCAACAGTAGATAAGTGATGAAATGCACACATTCAAATCTTCCTTTATTTTTAGGAAGATTTCTTTAAATATTTGTTTTCTCACCCAAGTGTTAGGTCCTCTCCCTGAGAAATTGTAATTCTCCAAGGATCGTAGAAGATACTGCCATTCCCACATGCCTATTGGTTGTGCTATAGTCACTTTTGGTCTTATAATTTTCCCTTTGTAGTATGTGTGATCTTATCTCTCCTACCTCTTATATTACTTCTTTGTTTTTTAGTGTTCATTGTTATTCATCTTCTTGATTTTTACTGTACCAATTCTTTTAGTTTTTTCTAATGGAGCTTTTAAGTATTTTCATATTTTATGTTTCACCTCAATTTCTTTCCCTGGATTTGTCAGTAACTTGTATTTTGTATCATCTCTTGTTTCATGTTTTCTTTAATTTCCTTGAGAATGCAGAGTTTTTTTTCTAAAGTGTTCTTTTCTTCTCTTTCAATAGGGCCTTGCTCTGTTGCCCAGGATGGAGTGCAGTGGCATGATCATAGTTCAGTGTAATCTCAAACTGCTGGCCTCAAGCAGCCCTCCCACCTCAGCCTCCTAAAGTGCTTGGATACAGGCATAAGCCACTGTGCCTGGTCACTTTTTACTTTCTTTAATATATGATTTGACACCAGGCAACCTCTGATTAAGAGTGCTATGCAGAATTAAGATGGCATGGGATCACAATATCTCTTTCAGGCCCAATTCCATGATGTCTCAGAAAATTAGAATAGGCCTCAACTAGAGTGACCCTCACTGCATTTCACCCTTGGCTCCCCATGGCCCAGTTCTTGTCTTTCAAGAATAAGTACTGTGGCTAGGATGATTCACAACTCTCTCATTTACTTTGTTGAAAACGATATCACAAGTTTGGAGCAACAGTTAAATCTCAGTGTCTTCTTTCATTTTGTTCAAAATTTCCTTTTATCTGGCAGATATTCTTTATAGTTGTGTCAAGAGGCTGTTCCAGATACATGGTTTCACTGGACATTGCTTTTTCTCTTTTTCATATAGTTTGTATGTTTTGATGAACTTTGGGGGAGAGAGAGCTCTGCTGGTGTTCAGTAACTCTTTCGTTGTCCCCAAGAAGCCCCAGTCAGCACTTTTGAACATGACAAACTTGTGATCATTTACTTATCCTAAATTCGCATATGCCAAGAAGCCAACAGGCTTCCAGAAATTTTATTAAGAGTTTCAGATATTTCACCAAGTAATTTTATCTCTGCTAATGAGATCAAGTGTATAACTGGAACTAAACTAAACATGCCTCATTTCATGCTAGCTTGCTGTTCTGTAGAGGAATGTGAAACAGCGCTTTGTAGCCAAATGCACAGTTCAATGAAATTGTGTTGCCTCAATTTTTCAAGTGCTTTGTGAGTGGCAAGAGGGGATAGTAAACCTTTCCTGATTGACATCTGTCAACCGTCATGAGCTTCCCAGACACGTACACTGATAAGAAAGTTGGCGACTGTTGGGACCCACAGACAAAATCATTTGCTATAGAATCTACTGCAATAGACACAACGTTCACCCTTCTGAGTTGTGGCCTGTCTCTGGCCTTAAGATTCTGCATTAAGACAGGCTGTCAAAGATAAGACAGGATGCAAGAGAGGCCCTGCTACAGGGAACCTCAAGTAAGGTTTTAATAGCTTTCTACGCTTGAATAAGAATCCTCCTGATGCCTGAATTTTTTTCCTAGTACAATGAAGTAATGTCTTCATATTTCTAAAATGACACTTCCATCCGGGAGAAAAAATAGCTCAGTGCATTAATTGATGCCAATTTCACATGGAACATTTTTATGGAAAGCACTTAGTTCTGATTTTCCAGGTATAAAAGAATGATGTCACTGTTCGTGTTTCATCAGACCTGACTGTATACCTAAGACAGGAAGAAGGAAGTGGCTTTGGATTTTATGTAAGTAATAGAGTACATGTAAACAAATAAGGCTGGCATTTGCTTTTACCTCCTGTTTACAAATGTATTTGGTGCTACTGAAATAAAATGCTACTGCATTAAGCTAATGCAATGGTAGGTTCTGGGCAAACAGATGATGGAAAGAGTGAGACAGATTAGAAAGATATGAGATGGATGATGAATTATATACCAAATGGACTGAAAGGATAGATCTTTCTGCTTTTCACTTTTCTTCTTTCCACAAATGTTCTCATATGTTTTTTTTCTAAAGCACAATAACATTCCTTGCAATATAATATTGAGTACTTATATCTCCTCTCTAAACCAATTTTTCTTTTACATTGCTTAATCTTGACATGCAGCAATATCTCAGTGATATTCTAAGGATTATCAGTCACAAATATTCACTGAACCCGCAGTATGTGTGTTGAGACTCATACCATTTATTTTGAAGTGATTCAGAGAAAGCAGGATATCTAGCTATAACCCTTGTTCTAAAGATAAGAACAGGAAAAGAAAGATGAAATAGAATACAATAAAATACATGATTCATGGGAATTTCCAAAAGTTCATCCCAGGTTTCTCTTCTGTTCTCCCTCTGTTTCCTTGCTTCAGAAGGATTTCATCTATGCACAGAGGCATTTTACTTTATGCAATATACAAATACGAATTGAGTGCCTTTAGTGCATCACGTCCTGAGCAAGAAGCCAAGAATTCAAAGAATAAGCCTTATTTTCTGTCCTCAAAGAGCTTGTAGTATAGCGGTAAAGATAATCACATGAAAGAACACATAGAGTCATTCCAAAGAAAATGCATTAATTACAAGGATATGGACCACAGAGTAATAGCATCTAATCAAGCCTGGAGAGGAGTAGGGAGTGTTTCTGGAGGAGCTGATATCCTTGCAGACTTTTAAAGGGTGAAAAACAGTCATGACATGAATAGGAGAAAGAATATACTTCAAGTAGACAGGAAATCAGGAGCTAAGGCATGAAAAAGAGACACTTCACAAGTGTTCAGTGTTGCTGAAGCCAAGAGTGAAGGTAGAGTCTGAGGAAAGTCTATAATGGAGAGCTTTAATTTATATATTAGGAAACTTAGTTTATATCCACTGGGCAATGGGTGCCACTCAAGGGTTTTAAACAAACAAATGACAGGTCAGATTTCTATTTTAAATCTGATGGTTCAGTGACAGACTGATTTGAAGTGAACAAGGCTGAAGTTAGAAATGTTGGTTAATAGACTGTTTCATTAGTCAGGTTGCAAGATGATGATGGTGTCATCTAAGATAGCATTCACAGATGCAGAGAAGGAGGACAGATTTGAAAAGCATTTAGAGAGCAAAATTGGCAAGAGCTTGTCATTACTTGTTCCTGGCATAAGGGAGAGAGCAAAGTAAAAGAAAACCCAAACTACCTGATATACTCTGCAAAGAGTCACAACAATACTCACTGCTCTCATGGTCCTGGTTATCCACCCTGACTGAGTGCAGTTGTCTTTTTTGGTGAACAATTTAGAGGTGGGAGTATTTGTGTGACTGTTATTCATCCTTATTTCTAAATCCTGAGAAACATTTCATTGACTGAATGAAACACTCCATTAATGAAACATTTGAACCACAAAGAAACATTTCATTGTGGAATTTGAGACACAGCAAATGAAAATAACTAACCCAAAGTTACTTGACTTCTATTAAAAGCTCTGGAGAAGCTTGGCCAGCTACCTGCTACCATGCACAAGTTTGAGAGCTCCTGCATGTGTTCCCCAAGAGTGGCTTACAGACTAGAAAGCAGATGGTGCAGCAGCAGACGGAAGGGTTGATGTGTATGCTCTGTGCAGCAGGATATTTCTTCCTGTGTCTCCTACCACTGTTCCAATCATTTCCTCTACATCAAAAACTGTACCTGAAAAGGAAGGAGACCCTGGACCTCTTTCAATAGAGCAAAATGCAACTCCTGGAACCAACTGCTTCATTATACCCCCATCATGTATGGCCACTGGGTCACTCACACCATAGATAGCCCAAAATATTATACCTAGGTGTGCAATGTAGAAGACTTTTCCCCATTCATGCTCAAAAGTTTCATTCTCTCAACTAGATGACTGTATTAGTCCATTCTCACACTACTACTAAAGACATACCCAAGACTGGGTAATTTATAAAGGAAAGAGGTTTAATTGACTTACAGTTCTGCATGGCTGGGGAGGCCTCAGTAAACTTACAATCATGGCAGAAGGGAAAGCAAATACATTATCCTTCACATGGCAGCAGCAAGGAGAAGTACAGAGCAAAGGGCAGGGGAAGCCCCTTATAAAACCATCAGCTCTCGTGAGAACTCACTATCATGAGAACAGCATGGAGACAACTGCCCCCATGATTCAATTACTTCCCACCAGGTCTTTCCCAGGACACATGGGGATTGTGGGAATTATTACACAATGATGAGATTTGGATGGAGACATAGCCAAACCATATCGGTGAGAGATAAGAGAGTATAATGTTTTCTTCAAATTTTAGTTAGCTGGAGAGGTAGACTTCCATATGCTCCGTGTTATCCAGCATATTGCTGCTTCATTAATATGCTGGTAGTAATATTAATGAGAATAGCAATATTGAATGCCCAGAAAATATACTTGTAAATGATAAATTAAGGAATAGTTCTTCCAATAGAAAATGTCTGTAACCTTTAACAAAATATCGTTAACAAAGTATAGACTAACAGGCTGAGACAAAAGCCATAAAACATCCTTAATACAGAGAGATGGCGTGAATTAGGTCAAGTAATTAGACCCAAATCAATAAAGCTGTAAGAAATAGTTGCCTGAACATGGAGCAGAGCTACAAAAACTCATCCAGGAAAATAGGGGAAAAAATGGGGATAATTCTTAAATAAAGCCACTCCATAATTGGGAATATCTAATTCAAATATAGCAAAAGAGAAAACAAGCCTGGCAATATATAACCAAAACAAAAACAACAACAAATCGCAAAGCAACAAAGCCACAACCAAGAAAATAGCTTCTACGATAGATGCTTAGACAGAATTTTAAGTGGAAAATTACTGCACTATCTTCCAAATTAAGTAAACATGGCTACTTGTGTGGCGCTAAAACTCATCATAAGCACAGCATGCTTCTAGTTTGTATCTTGATGATTACCGAACTATTGTAAACAAGTGTGCCAGGAAAAGTATGTCAAGAATGATGTACTCATTTTATACAGCTAACCAAGAAAACATGTTGCTAATGAAAATAACATTGCAAAGAGACAAATTCATTTCCCCATTGATATGTGGATGGACTGCATTCATAGTATTTTAGTTCTGCATTCAGAATATAAACAGGCAACCGTTCTTAGCTAGTTCTATTCCTCACCTTTTAAGAACTTAGTCAATACTGAAAGGAATTAGGAGCTAGCTCAAGAGCTGCCTAGAGAAGCCAAAATAAGATTCATTTGGATCGATAACATCAAAAAATATCTGAATCCAAGGTTTAAGTGGATTAACAAAATTTGGTTCACATACAATAAAACAATTTTGTTTTAATATTAGTTTATCTTTATTTTTCATAACTAAAGTGCAGGGAATAAGTTATGCACAGTTTACAAGATATATATGGATCAGGGTCCTCTGATACCAGGGGCAGCAAAATAGAACTTGTAGCGGCCAAAGTCATTGAACGTAGTCACGTCCTTCAATGAGAAGCCTTATCTTTTATCCTAGGGTGTTGTGCAAATATTGCCATTATCTATGCATGCAATGACATGAAAATTTCAGGAAGAATTGTTTTAGAAAATGAGTTTTCTCTTTTGATGTGTATGTACATCTGACATCAGTATTTTTGTTAATTTCTTTGTTCCTAGTTAGTGCTTTGGCCTTGTGTAGGGATGGCTTGGAAAAATGTTCTCTAGTCAGTTAGTGTTTCTCAAAGCAGCCATTGAGAGAGAGAACGGAATGTCCACACTACAATTTAATAATATTCTACCCGGAAGAATCTTATTCTCTGGATTTCTAGTGTGTAAAAACATCAAGTGAAAACCTAATAACCTTTGTAGCTCCCACTGATCTTATACATAGAAATGTCATCACAAATTTTTCTCACAATAAATGTACTCACTCATTCTTATCCTTCTTAGTTATTTACCACAGAGAAAAATATGGTAAAAGAACAAAACTCTATTTGTGCCAGTTATAAAACCTTCTCCTTTTACTCTGTCTGCATTTGTTTTCTGGGGCGTGTGCATGTGTGTAGGCACGTGCATGTGTGCGTGCGTGTGTGTGTGTGTGACAGAGTCTTGGTCTGTCACTCAGGCTGGAGTGCAGTGGTGCAATCACAGCTCACTGCAGCTTCCACCTCCAGGTCTCAAGCGATCCCCATACCTCAGCCTCCCCAGTAGCTTGACACTACCGTCGTGCACCAACATGCCTGACCAATTTTTTAATGTTTTGTAGAGACAGGGTCTCGTTATGCTAGCCAGGCTGGTCTTGAACTCCTGGGCTCCAGCGAACCTCCTGCTTCAGCCTCCCAAAATGCTGGGGTGCTGGGATTATAGTCATGAACCACTGCAGTTAGCTCTCCTCCCTTTACTCTGGAGTCCAGGTCTTGTCTCTTCTATGTTGGCCCTATGGCTCATTTGGGTTCACTGAGGTAACATGAGGCCACTGAACTGGGAGCAGAAAAAGGGCCTGCTGAGAACATTCCCAGCAGCCCAAATTGCTATTGATAGGGAAAAATGCAAGTGGCATAAAGAAGAATACTTAGGAAATATTTTTAATTATAAAGTTTATTTAAGGATATCTACAATGTTGAAACCTCAAAGTAGGGTTTAACTTAGAAGAGATATCCTCCCTGATGAAAAACCTCTAATGCTTAGAATCCAATAACAACTCTGTGGTATTTTGTCTTTCAAGGCCCTGTATGATCACATCTCACCTACCATTCCCTTCCTTGGATCACCACACTCCAGATGCACTAACTTTTTGTATTCAAACCTGCAAGTACATTCCAACTGAAAACTTGCATATGTGCGTTCCCTCTGCCTAGAATGCCGTTTGCCCAAAGCTTTATTTTTTTATTTCACTTATTACAGCCTATATTACTTTGCCTCTTTATTTATTTGCCTGTTTCCTTGCTTTCATGTCTGCAGACTCATCAATCTCCTCCCACTAGAAATCAAACTCAATTTGATCAATGACTATAGTAGATTGTAATAGTGGCCACAATTACTGTCTTCATTCTACCCATTCTCCTTTTCAATGTGACTTTGCACCAGCTCCCATCAGCAAGCTTATTCTATTTCTCCACCCAATAAATCCAAACTAGCCTTAAGCCTACAAAATGCAGAGGAAATGAAGTTATGCACATCCCTATTCTAAGCCTCAAAAAACCTTGCACAATCTACATCATGTCCTGGAGCATTTCCCCAGAGTTTTCTTCTATGAGTTTTATATTTTCAGGTCTTAGATCCAAGCCTCTAGTCCATTTTGATTTGATTTTTCTGTATGGTGAGAACTTGGGGTCTAGTTTCATTCTTCTGCATATGGTTATCCAATTTTCCAAGTACCACTCATCAACAAAATTGTCCTTCAGCCATTGTACGTTTTGATCTTTGTCAAAGGTGAGTCGTTGGTAAATGCATGGATTTATATGTGGGTTCTCTATTTCGTTCCGTTGGTCTATGTGTGTGTTTTTATGCCAGCACTTTGCTGTTTGGCTTACTACAGCTTTGTAGTACATTTTGGAATGAGGTAGTGTGATGCCTCCAGCTTTGGGGTTTTTTTTGCTCAAGATTACTTTGGCTATTCAGGGTCTTTTGTGATTTCGTTACAGGTAGTTAGACAGGCATAAGCAGAACAGGAGAGAGCTCTTTCCCCACCCACCAGGAAAGTCAGGCGATCATCAGTATGGTTTGGCAGTTATCACATTGCCTCTCTAAAAATGATAATTTGGCTGCTAGCACCAGGGAGAGACAATCTCCTGGTGGCCCACAGCTGTCACATTAAAGTGTTCATTGAATGCAGGGACCAGGGAGAATCAACTTCCCAAATAAATAAAAACACTTGAAATCGGTAATAAAATCTCAAGTATTGGGAAGTGAGCCTGGGCATGAGCATTAAGAGACAAAATGGGGGAGTATGATCTTTTTGGGAGCATTCCACCTGAAAAGGGAAGAAAGCCTCAGATGGGCATGCATACAACTTCCTAAACACACTGCTCATGCTCACTTCCCAAGTGTAAGGAGGACACTGCACATGCGGGCAGCCCACCCTAAGGGAAGAATCATGGGAAAGAGGCACAAGACACCAAAAGTGGGCCAGCATATAAAGTCCTAAGATCAAGGTTAAATGCCACACTTGATCTTCACAGTGCCCACTTGGGTCTCTTCCAAGTGTACTTTCCTTTCTTTCCTGCTCTAAAGCTTTTAAATGAACTTCCACACCTGCTGTAAAACTTCCCTTAGTCTCTTTTTCTGCCTTATGCCCCTCAGTCAAATTGTTTCTTCTGAGGAGGGAAGAATTGAGGTTGCTGCAGACCTGAGTTACTGGATTCACTGCCAGTAACTCAGGTACCTTCCACCCCTAACAGTTTCATATAAATCTTAGAATTTTTTTCCTATTTCCATGAAGAATGTCAGTGGCATTCTGATAGGGATTGCATTGAATCTGTAAATTGCTTTGAGTAATATTGTCATTCTAACAATAATAATTTTTCCAATCCATAAGCATAGAATATCTTTCCATTTTTTTTTGGTGTCCTTTTCTATTTCCTTCATCAGAGTTTTATAGTTTACCTTGTATAGATCTTTCTCTTCTTAGGTAAGATTGGTTCCCAGATATTTTACATTTTTTGTAGTTATTATAAATGGGTTTGCTTTCTTTATTTCTTTTTCAGATTGCTTGCTGTTGGCGTATACAAATGGTAATGATTTCTGTATGATAATTTTGCATCATGCAACTTTACTGAATTTGTTTTTCAGTTCTAACAGCTTTTTGGTGGAGAATTTAGGTCTTTCTAGGTATAAGATCATGTTGCCTGCAAATGGGCTAATTTGACTTCTTCCTTTTCAATTTGGATGTTATTTATTTCTTTCTCTCATCTAATTAGTCTAGCCTCATCTAATTTTGCCAGTGAAGGCCATAGACATGTGAAAATACCTAGTCAATAAACAGCAAAGCTGTCTATCCTCTCTGCGTGCTGCTGAGCACAAATGCCTAAAAGAGTTAATTTAAAATCTGCCAAACCTGGCCCAGATCAGCAAAAATGCTCAGCTGACCTATGAATTTATGCTTATAATCTCTGAATAGTAAATAGTACTGAATGTTCAATCTGACCTTGTAATCTTATTATATTAGTCTGTTCTCACAGTGCTAATAAAGACATACCTAAAACTGGGTAATACATAAAGGAAAGAGGTTTAATGGACTCACAGTTCAGCATGGCTGGGGAGGCCTCACAGTCATGGGAGAAGGCAAAGGAAGAGCAAGTCATGTCTTACATGGTGGCAGGAAAGAGGGCATGTGCAGGGGAACTCCCCTTTATAAAACCATCAGATCTCATGAGATTTATTCACTATCACGAGAGCAGCATGGGAAAAACCCACCAACATAATTCAGTTACCTCCCATCAGGTTCCTCCATAACATGTAGGGATTATTACAATTCAAGGTGAGATTTGGACAGCGACACAGCCAAACCAAATCATACCACCTCTGGCCCCTCCCAAATATCATGTCCTCACATTTCAAAACCAACTGTGTCTTCTCAATAGTCCCCCAAAAGAGTTAACTCATTTCAGCATTAACTCAAAAGTCCACAATCCAAAGTCTCATCTGAGACAAGTCTGTTCTGCTTATGAGAGTGTAAATTCTAAAGCAAATTAGTTACTTCTTAGATACAATGGGGATACAGGCATTGGGTAAATATACCCATTCCAAATGGGAGAAATTTGCCAAAATGAAGGGGCTACAGGCCCCATGTAAGTCTGAAATCCCACAGGACAGGCAAATCTCAAAGCTCCAAAATGATCTTTTTTGACTCCGTGTCTTGCATCCAGGTTATGCTAATGTAAGAGGTGGGTTCCCATGGTCTTGGGCAACTCCACTCTGTGGCTGTGCACGGTGCAGTCCCCCTGCTGGCTGCTTTTACAAGCTGATGTTGAGTCTCTGAGGCTTTTTCAGATGCACGGTGCAAGCCGTCGGTGGATCTACCATTCTGGAGTCTGGAGGATGGTGACTCTCTTCTCGCAGCTCCACTAGGCAGTGCCGCAGTAGTGACTCTGTGTGGGGGCTCTAACCCCACTTTATCCTTCCATACTGCCCTAGCAGAGGTTTTCCATGAGGGCCCTGCCCCTGCAGCAAACTTCTACCTGGACAGACAGGCATTTCCACGCATCCTCTGAAATCTACACGGAGGTTCCCAAACCTCAATTCTTGACTTCTGTATACTTGCAGGGCCAACACCACATGCAAGCTGACAAGGCTTGGGGCTTGCACCACTCTGAAGCCATAGCCAAAGCTACACCTTGGTCCTTTTTAGCCATGGATGGAGTGGCTAGGATATAGGGCACCAAGTCCCTAGGCTGCACACAGCAGGGGTGCCCTGAACCCGGGCCATGAAACCATTTTTTCCTTCTAGACCTCTGGGCCTGTCATGGGAGGGGCTGCTGTGAAGATCTCTGACATGCCCTGGACACATTTTCCCCATTGTCTTGGCAATTAACATTTGGCTCCTGGTTATTTATGCAAATTTCTGAAGCCCATTTGAATTTTGCTCCAGAAAATGGGTTTTTCTTTTCTACTGCATTGTTGGGCTGCAAATTTTTTAAACTTGTATGCTCTGTCACCTCTTGAGTGCTTAGAAATTTCTGCCAGATGCCCTAAATCATCTCACTCAAGTTCTAAGTTCTACAGATCTCTAGGGCAGAAGAAAAATGCTGCCGGTCTCTTTGCTAAAGCATAATAAGAGTCATCTTTGCTTCAGTTTCCAGCAAGTTCCTCATCTCCACCTGAGACCACCTCAGCCTGGACTGCATTGTCCATATCACTATCAGCATTTTGGTCAAAGCTATTCAACCAGTCTCTAAGAAGTTCCAATCTTTCCCGCATCTTCCTGCCTTCTGAGCACTCCAAGTCTCTAGGAAGTTCCAAATTTTCCCACATTTTCCTGTCTTTTGAGCCCTCCAAACTGTTCCAAACGCAGCCTGTTACCCAGTTCCAAAGTCGTTTCCACATTTTCAGGTATCTTTATAGCAGCACCCCACTCTACAAGTACCAATTTACTGTGTTAGTCCATTCTCATGCTCCTAATAAAGACATACGCAAGACTGGGTAATTTATAAAGGAAAGAGGTTTAATGGACTCACAGTTCAGCATGGCTGGGGAGGCCTCACAATCATGGTGGAAGGTGAAGGAAGAGCAAGGCATGTTTTACATGGTGGCAGGCAAGACAGCATGTGCAGGGGAACTCCCCTTTATAAAACCATCAGCTCTCATGAGATGTATTCACTATCTCGAGAACAGCATGGGAAAAACCCACCAACATAATTCAATTACCTCCCACTGAGTCCCTCCTGTGACACATATTACAATTCAAGGTGAGATTTGGGTGGGGACACAGAGCCAGCCCATATCACTTGTCAACCATCACTTAGGCCTTGGGGCATAATAGGTGTACAGCTAAGCCCTGGAGCCCTCAGGGAATCTTCCATGGCCCTAGTCTTCCCTCTTGCTCTAGGATTTATTTGTATTTCATTGCTTTGGGTATGGATTTTCTTCCCAATTAATTGAGCTGATTATTCTGTTTGATTGCTTCTTGATTGATTCCCACTTCTTTCTTCACCCCAAGGTGCTGAGCTTTGTTTTCCCTATGTTTTCACGTACAGCCTGGAAAAATCTTTTTCTCTCCTACTCCTAGGGCCACTTTTCCAGAAACCCAAATAATTGCTTCATGCACATTGGCTCAGGCTGCCCAAGGGCAAATTGTATTGCCCAAAGGGCTCTCATTGATACTTTTTGAGACCCACATCCTCCTTTCCAGGGAAATTATAAACCTATGGTTTCCATTTCTATTACCTAGTAGATGTGAGTCTCTATTCTTTTCTGAATATTTTTCTTATTTTACAGACTATGGCCAAATATTGTTAAATTATTAGCTCACTTGAATCCCTTAAATGTATTAAGAAGAGGAAAAGGGAAGAGGAGCATCTGTTTTTAAGGGGAAAAGGAACATCTAAATTTTTTAAGATTAAAGGTCTCCGGTGAACATAGTCTTCACTTCTTTTTCTTTTTTTCCTTTTTTTTTTTTTGCGGGGGGCTGTAAGTACTAATGCCATATTTTTAGCTATTCACGCATTGATGCCTTGTTTTAAGCAGGGATAATCACATTTATTCTCAGCCTTATGTTTTAAAATATGTTTACAGTTTATGGGGTATTGCTGATTATATTTTTCAAAGATGGCATAATGATATTTCTCATCTTGCAGATTCTTTTTATAATGTGAGCTTCCTGCTCCTTCATCAAAAGATAGTCTGTGCCCCCTCCCCTTAAGCATGGACAGAACTTTGTAACTGTCTTGACTAATAAAATGTAATCAGAAGTGATATTATGTGACTTCCAAGGACAGATTATAGAATAAAACTGAAGAACATTAAAATGACATGAACCGACATAATAACTAAAGGAAGAACAAAAGTTTTTAAAAAATCATTCAATAGTAGTTCTCACACTTTACTGTAGATCATCAGAATTACTTGGAGGGCTTGATTAAAGAGATTTCTGGGCGCCACTTCCATATTCTCTGATTCAGAAATCTGAAGTGGGGTCTGAAGAATTGCATTTCTAAAAAGTTTTTATATGATGCTGATGTGGCTGGTTCAGAGACCACACTCAGAAAAACACTAATGAAAGAAAATATCAACTGACAAAACAGGAAACTTTTAGAAAAAAAGTTCAACAACTAAAAAATAAAAAAGTTCAGTGCTATGTTTAATAGTACACAAAGTTGGAGAAAACAAAAAATATGTGAATAATATCTAAAATAGTTTCGGCATAAGGCCTTTAGTCCTTAAGCTTCCCTCGACAAACCAATCAACTGTAATTAGTAAGTGATTATTTAACAATAGTATATTTTCTCTTGGTCATACATCTAAACATCACCTTTAGATCATCAGCTCTAAAAAAGAGCACACAACTTTGCCAAGAAAGGCCAGTTTAAGAGACCCATAAAGACAGGAAAACAAGAAAAGGAACCAGACTTTTACACTTACCCTATTCAAGAAATTCCAAATGCAAACATCTCATGTGAAGATACCTTGGCCTTTGTACCTAAATTACAGTGTTTGGGAATTAGCCTTTTTCTGGGCAATTAAAAAAATTATTAGCTCAACTCTGTGACTAATACAGTTAAAGTCACCATGAAAGAGCTAGAATTAAGCCCACATTACTCATGCGACCACAGTTAACAAGCCAAAATAGCTCAGCACATTGCTGATCTACAACAATAGTATTCCAAATGTTTAATTAGGACATGATTGTATGTTACCTGAAGGGTTACAATGCCAACAAAATAATTTTTTTTCTTTTGTCCTTAGGAGAAAAAATGTCAGGGTGAGGAGAGACAGTCACAGCTGTCTCCTAATAAAATAAAATGCAGTATTTTAAAATTATCAGGCATTCTTTCAATCTAGGAAGAACCCCATTACATACTTTTCCAGTTGTTATCCCACATATTTAATACTAACAAGAAGAAAAATGTTAACATTGTTCTATTATTTTACAAATATCCTTTCCTCACGTGTACTCGTTCTCAATAACAGACAATTTTTTCTTCTTCTGATGAGAAAATGTCTGACAAAACAATACAATGAGTTGTGTATACAATGGCAATATAGAAGCCTTGATGGTATTTGGCATTATTCTCAAATACCTAGATAAAACTTTCAAGCTCCAGTTACCTTATAAAATGTCAGTTACCAAGGAACAGATAGCCAGATGGTTAAATATTTCAAGTATTTTCCAAATAACACCAGCAACAATATTAAACCCAGTTATCACTATCTGTGCTATGACTTTATGAATGCAAAACAGGAAAATATTGCTCCTAGATAAAATTTTATATCCAAACATCACAATTTCTTAAGGACTTTTTCCTGGGCCAAAATTTTGTTCACTTGGTGCTGACACACTAATTATCCAGAATATTAAGAATAATTGTTATTTATTTCATTCAACATAAATATTTTGAACAAACCCTAAGTGCCAGGTAACCTGGTAGGCATCAGGTACCTGCTAAAATTAAAATATAATTCTTTCCTCTCAATGGTCCACATTGTCTAGTGGATGTTAACCATGAAAATATATAATTACAATACATGTCAATGCATGTTATTTTAGTGACAAGAACCGAATTGTTAAGTGATATGGTTTGGCTGTGTCCCTACCCAAATCTCATCTTGAATTGTAACCCACAATTCCCATGTTCTTGGAAGGAACCTGGTGGGAGGTAATTAAATCATGGGGGCAAGTCTTTCTCGTGCTGTTCTTGTGATAGTGAATAGGTCTCACGGGATCTGATGGTTTTAAAAATGGGAATTTCCCTGCACAAACTCTCTCTTTGCCTGCTGCCATCCATGTAAGATGTGATTTGCTCCTCCTTACCTTCCACCATGATTGTGAGGCCTCCCCAGTCCTCTGGAACTGTAAGTCCATTAACCTCTTTTTCTTCCCAGTTTCAGGTATGTCTTTATTAGCAGCATGAAAACGGACTAACACATTCAGACACAAAGGAGGGTTAATAAATCACTGTATTATTTTGATATAGCAACTCTTCATAAAAGTTTGACATTTAAATGTACAGGTATTTGCCTACTAGAAAGTATGGAAAAGGAATTACAAGAAAAATAATGTAAAAATTTCTATTGGGTAGCCTAGTAAGCATATGGAGTAAAACAATAATTGAAAGTAAGTCATCGTGACTTCAGTGGTGGCAAGAGATGAACTTTAAGAGGAAAGTGTAGGCCAGGCACGATGGCTCACGCCTGTAATCCCAGCATTTTGGGAGGCCGAGGTGGGCAGATCACGAGGTCAGGAGATTGAGACCATCCTGGCTAACACAGTGAAACCCCATCTCTACTAAAAATACTAAAAATTAGCCAGGCGTGGTGGCACGCACCTGTAGTCCCAGCTACTCAGGAGGCTGAGGCAGGAGAATGGCATGAACCCGGGAGACAGAGCTCACAGTGAGCCGAGATTGCACCGCTGCACTCTAGCCTGGGCGACAGAGTGAGACTATGTCTTAAAAAAAAAAAAAAAAAAAAAAAAAGAGGAAAGTGTAATATGGATCATGAGTGACTCAGATACCAGGTTCAGGTTAATACCTGTAGCCAACAAGATGCTGTTAAGGGAGTAGCATTATTTATTTTATTTCAGATTAATTTACCATCATTGTTTCACTAAAGAATAAGCCCTTGAGAGAATATTATACTCAAAGGAAATGGATTAATTTTCATGAAGGGGAAAGTGATACTTGCAGCATTTTCCGGATTGCCAACATGGTGGCTCAACTCTGCAGCTAGAAAGCAAATAATATGGAAACTCATCCCTGGGCCTCTGGCTGGGGTAGAGGATTGAAGCTGCCCAAAGCAGACCACCCCTTCACCAATTTCACACAGGAGCCTCCAGTGGCCCCTTAGGGACAGCGTGTAGACACAGATAAAGAGTTCTTGAGCACTATAAAGTACAGAGGAACAAACTGACTGCTCTATGAATTAATACCAACATTTATTTAGATTAGGTAAGACACTTATGGTACATTGAAAACAAAGTGATTAAAAACACATTTATGCAAATCTCATTTGTGGCAGATAGGACTCTCAGATTTGGCAGTTGTGTGATCTTAACAAATATGGCTTTAATAATGCATTAAGACTTAATTCATGAATTTTCCGTATTGGATTGTTTAGAAATTAGTCCCCATTTGGGAAAGATCCTGTTGCACTGAAATTAGTGTGGGGGGACTGGTATAAGGTTAATGGATTTGGGTGTTTAGAATACATTTGTTCACTTAATTCATCAGAAAGGCAGCCCAAGTCTTCAAAAATAAAACTATCACCATCTGCACAGCAACAGTTAGTATTCATCAAAATATTTAGTCAAAACAACCAGATCAAAGTCCTATCGAATCTACAAAGGGACCTGTGACACCCTTAGCCCAATTTCAGAGCACTGAAATATGACCCTGAAGAGGTTAAATGCTTTGTCTATTGTCAGACTTCTAGGATAAGCAAAGCCACAACTAATATCAGGTCTTCTGACTAAATCCAATTTTTCTTAGCTACACCATAGGGTATCCGGTTCTGTGGTTGTTTATTTGCATGAAAGAGAACAACTTTATTCTCATATAGGCGGATGCCATCAGCCCAGATTGGGTATGAATGTATCAGTCCCCCAGGACATTGTAGTTGGTTAGCATATAAATCTTAAGAAGTATTTGCCTGGTCTGCAACATTCTCTTTTTTCCTGGGAATTCGAACCTCACAGTTCAAAGGAATGGACCTCTTAGCACCATTTTGACCCACTCCTCCACTTTGTATGCTACGGAGCGGGATTTTGGAATTGCAGCTGAGAGGTTCTCTTCCTCTTTGAGCTCTTCTCTTGAATTGAAGTAACGTGAACTCTGGAACTGCGGGGACTCTAGCAGAAGAAGAACTGCAGGTAAAGTGACCGCTGATGACAAGAACAAAGCCGGCATGCAGCGAGAAACAGAGCAAAGACCAGGTAGCCCCAGGGAGAGAGTGCCTTGGTTCCTCATTATTTTCCAGTTCCCGCAGGCTCTCCAGTGTCAAGGCTCACCTGTACTTTCTACTCTTGCATTCTGAAATATATTTCTAATTCCTCATACCAGGCAATGCAATCTCAAACAAGAGACTCTAAGAGAAAGTGTGAAGCCATTAGGATTTCCCCTGGCTGGCTATGCAGTGGGCAGTCTTTGGAAGTATACTGGAAGAATATGAGAATGTGCTTCAGAAGCTACAATAACTTGAGTGTATGAAACCAGAAACAGACAAACTCTATTTCAGATGTTTTACACTGAAAGTGGAGAAAATTAGGGCATACTCCATAGAGACAGTTGGTGCCTAGGTCAAAACATTTATAAGAAAATTCTATGCTCCACCCCTCTATTAGTCAGGATATGCTAACAGATATAACACACACAAAAAATCGAAGTTTCAAAAGCTTAGCATATGAAAAGCTTATTTCTCACTAACGCAAATGTTCTGTTTAGGCAGCTGCCTTGTGCAGATATCCTACAAATAATAACTCAAGGACAAACGCTTAGTTAATCAGTGGCTCACTCTGCCCTAGTTATTTATTTCTTCCTAGTTTAATTTATTAATTAATTTTTTTTTGGAGACTTGCTCTGGGTGCAATCATAGCTTCGTAGCTCACTGCAGGCTCGATCTCCTGGGCTCAAGCAATTTCCCAGCTTCAGCCTCTTGAGTAGCACACGCTTGGCTAATTTACTTTATTTTATATATATGTATAATATATTATATTTATATTTATACACACACACACACACACACACACACACACACACACACATACATATATATATATTTTTTTTTTTTAGAGACGAGGGTCTTGCTTTGTTGCCCCAGGCTGGTCTCAAACTCCTGACTTCAAATGATCCTTCTGCCTTGACCTCCCAAATTGCTGGGATTACAGGCATAAGCCACCACACCCAGCCCCCCAGCTCTTTAATTCCTTTGTTGAATCCTCTCTATCCAGGCAGTATAGTAAAGGAGAAAATTCAGAAATTTGAAGTTATACAAGTTAAAACACTACCTACCTCAGACTCCAAACAAGAAGAGTTAAGACTGAAAAAGATTTTGAGCTACAAAACCCCCTTAATTCTGTGCCCCACAAAACATGACCAGATTCAGGCTACAGCCATCTCATCTATTATTTCAGATGGCCTTTGAGTGATCAGCCACAAATCGAGAAGGAGACAAGGGATGAGAAAGAAAAGGCATAAGCCAACCTTGCGAAGTATATCTAGGAAGGAACTTTGGATGGTGGTCACTGCCACATGAAGTCTAATGCAAGCCCACTAAATTTATAAATTTATAAATCATATTACCAAAAGCAATGAAAATTCTTGACTTCATACACCTTTGACTAGAGCAGCCTTAATAAAAATTTTGGGCTCTTGGATTTGCACCAGCAGGAATGGGCTCTAAAAACTCTGTAGCCACTAAGGAGAGCACAGTTCTCAGTATCGATTTCCGAGGTGGAGAATAATAAAAAAGAAAGCATCTCCCAGAAGGTGGAGCTCGAGTCTGCAGAGAACAGCAAACAGGTAGTGTCTCTAAAACAGCAAAATCAGGTTCTAATCAAGGAACTTTCCCCACTCTTTGAGTAAGATTTTGCAACTTTTATGGGCCAACTATTGCCATGCCTCTGCCATTTGACCTGTTTCTATATGGGAGATTTATTGCTGTTGTCTGTGGTTGGTTTGTAATTATTTGGGGAAAGGTACAGTGCAGACAACTTGTCTTTTTAGCTCTAAGGTGGATCAAGATGCCACATTATAATCTGATGGAGATGACTGGGAAACACTTAGAAATACTGGACTTTGAGCATAAATAGTAACCAGGTGGGGTTTTGAGTTATCTCGATGTGTGTGGGAAAAGAGTGAAACAGATAGTTGGTCACCAAAGGAGAGAGGCTGTTGCGGTTGCAGAGACTGGCTCATTGTTCACCAAATTAGTGTTATTCTCCACCAGGGCACACAGCTAGACATTTCCTCCTTTGCAATTAGAAACAGCCATGTGACTGAGTTCTGGCCAATGGGAGGGCACCTTCCATTTCTGGACCTTGGCAATGTAAAGTCCTTATGACCAACTACCTCTCTCTTCCCCATCAACTAGTTGGAAGTAGAAACATTTTTAAAGATGACATAAAGTCAGCCTAATTCCCAAAATGGCTGTCTTCCCCACTGGTGGCTATCTAGACTCTATGTGAGTTACTGACGTAAACTGAGATTTAGGAGTTCATTTGTCAACACTCAGAATGATCTTAGCTAATAAACCCCTCTACCCCTATAAAAAGGCTTAATGAGCTAACTGAGACAATATAGGTTTCTGGCAACTAGAATAGTAATAGCTAAGACAATCCAACTGTGGAATTATTACTTAGGCTCCTCCAAGGACCATAGGTTACTTTGTTCATAGCGCAGCTCCAGTGGAATAAAAATAACCTAAATAAATCAAAACAAACAGCAAGTACAAATAAAACAGAATACTTTGTTCTTGAAAGATCAAATGTAAATCAAGCCTCTACTATCTCCAAGTCTTTATCTTCAATGATGCCCTGAGGTTAAGGTCGTTTTGAAGAAATAATAGCGATAGACTAGCATACAGATCTGCTGGGAAGCTGAAGTCTCACACTACCCAGGGCCCAAATTTTGTTTTTAATTTAAATAGACAAGGATATTCCCAGATTATTACTTTTCAAGGATCCTAAAGATGTTTTATGGTAAGCTACAGACTCCAAGACGAAACTGAAGTTGTTATAGGAGTTGTAGTATCAGATAAAATGCCACCTATATAAAGAGGACCCTGAAGGCTGTTCATCAGAGGCCCTCTGCACTCTTAAGGACTGGTTACAAAGATAAAAAGAAGTGGTGTCCAGAGAACACATATCATCCCAAAAGGTTAATCCTGACCCCAAATGTTCCCAGTGGTTCCCTGAAGATCCTGAACCAGAAAAAGTTTCTCGTGGCAGGGAAAAATAGTGGGCAGGTTTTTAAACCAATTGTCACACATGCCACAATAAGCAGCTGATCATTTCTGTGCCTTATTTTTCTGTGCCTGTTTCAGGATGCTCTTTATCCTTGGGACACACGATTGTATATATTAGCATAGAAATGTTGGTTTTTGCCCCATTTGCTAAATGGGATTTTTTTGGTGACAGTTTTCTCTTCCACCACTAAAAACCTCCCCACTATAGGTTGCAGTTGTCTCTGGATACAACAATTTCCTGGGCCTAAGGGTCACCATGCCTTAGTAAATGGTTGACTTCTTTCACATAGGGGCCAAACCCAAGAACACTGGTGAACATGTGGGAAGAAGGAAAGCTATCTGTCGAGCAGCCAAGGAAAAAAGATGATACCTTCAAAGATGTCTCCCAGTCCGTGATAACATTCCTCATATGGGAACTGACCCCTTCCACTAACAGAGGGGAATGACGCCTCTGGAAGTCTGTTCATACAATGTGACAGTACAAATGTTCTGTTCTGGACATAATTGATAAGCCAGAAGTGGGCACAGCATTGAAGTTGAACAAATAAAACTATTTTTCCTGAAAACTTAGAGTTTGAGTTTCTACATCAGCCTAGTGGTCCACTTAACTGAGGTGGTTCAACAGCAGCAGAAATGAAGCTGGCCTCTTCTGCTAAGATCACAGAAAAGAAGGTGAAGCCAGACTGTCAAGAGCAGAGAATCATACAAACAAACAAGGAAAAGCAGAGGCAACAGGTCATGAATTCCAGGAAGAATTAAGTGAGTGTGGGCACATGGACTTCTGATTATTCCTGCTTTAAATCAAACTGAACTCAACAACCTTCCATTCTGCAAGGTAACTCTGCATCTTTCAAATATAAATATATATATATATATATATTTATATATATATATATATATATGTATTTTTTTTTCTTAAATGAGCTCAAGTTGGTTTTGTTTCCTAATGCCAGAAGTACAGGACAACAACCAGGCACTCCCTTTGAAGTCAGCCCCTTTGCGTAATTAATTCCCTAACCTTAGCTTAACCCAGTTCACTTATTTTCTTTTCCCCATTGTCAGTCTATTGATACTGGCATGCCCCCCTGACCACATCTAATAATGGCTATCAAAGGATTCATGATATTCCTCACCAGGCTGTCTTTTTTTTTTTTTAACTTTGCTAACTGCAAAAATTTATTTCTCTTTGCTTTGTTAAAGTCAGATTTCAAATATGTAAGGATTAACCTTTATATGCTTATATGGCTGCTATTTTGCTACTAATTCCATTCATCTTATATCTGTTTCACATTTGGCATTACTTAAAGAGGAGATACTTTATTCTGTCTGATCAGAAAACTTGTCGTTTTCTTTTTATCATTTGCTTTTGATGTATTGAATTCATCTGTGCTTCATTCAGGTTTACTGCATGGTTATTTGAGTTGATCTAACCAGGATCTCCTCCTGGACTTTACATTCACTGTCCAAGGCCTTCCACAAGGACACGTTACAGGTTATGTGATCACCCTGGCTATGATGGACAGCAGCCATACCGACAACAGAAGACAATACTGGTCTACTATGAGTAGGACATCATGCTATTTTTTGTCTTAGATCTCAAATCTCAATGACACCTCTAGTCTCCCTTCTCACTTGACTGAATTAAGACATTTTATCCTATATCTTATTTTAAAATAATGACTACTAGGAAAAATAATACCAAGGATTGTCTTCTCCCAAGAAACAAAGCCTTACCTCTCTGATCTTTATTCTTTTTGAAATAGCCTCCTATTTTCCCACAGCTTAAGGGTCAGTTACAATCTGACCACATTTAATGTAAAATAGAGTTCAGCATTCAAGTTGTGCTATTACCAAAGTAAAGCATGTTAACACCTGAAAATACTTAGCTTCTGATAGATTAAATGTGAATCAAAGCCAATTTTGTTTTCTCTACATCTTCACTTTGGGTCTTTTACTCCTCTATACTTTGGTACAAATCCATCCTCCAATTAATACAGAAACACTAGACTTTACTGAATACTTCTAGCCCCCTGGACTATGTTACTCCATCCCCAGACAAGTTATTTTACTGGACACTGGAAAACCTGTAAGGACTCATTGGTGTAAAATTCTCTCTGCTGTGTCCTGGGGATCTGCTATTCCAGGCCCGGCTCAGATGGGACAGTTCAACAGAGGCCGGTCTGCTCTTCCTGTGTTGTCCTCCTCCTTGTGCCGGTAGGTTAACCCAGGCATGCTGTTTTCATGGTGATAACAAAACACCAGCAAACCCCTCCATATCCACTCGAGGCTCGGTGCTGGCACACCATTATTTCTGCCTTATTTTATCAACCAAAGCATGTCACCCAGCCAAACGCCAATGCTCGGGGTCAGGAAAAATACTGCACTTTTATGTGAGGAAATCAAAAACCGCATGTCAAAGGTCCTAGACAGAAAGAAAGATGAAAAATCAGTGACTATAATACAATCTGCCACCACCCAACTAGTCTTCTGTCACTATGTTTAATATGAAGAAACTGTATTAAATATTTTTAAATCCTTTCCGGCTTTAGCATTATGATTCTGTATAAACTTTTCAATGTATTGCTTTATAATTCCACATTATTTTTATTATTCTAACAATTAGAGATATCTGTTCAGATTAAATTTATAACACATTACAGAAGCTTCATGATATGTGATACATATATTCTTTTTCCAGAGAGAATTATAATTACATTATATTAGAAAACCTAATAAATGTTTTTCTAAACTTAAAAGGAAAAATGATTTTGTTCTTTTGGTTGTAAATTCACATATCTTCAGATGTTACTGGCCTACAAAAATGAATGAGGTGGTATTAGCATTTTTGCCACATCATATTTTACTGGTTCTGTAATCCACCTGTATAAATTGCTGCAACTCCAAACTTCACACCCACACATCTACTAAATCATTTTTAAGCGTCCCCAGGTTGTACTGTGTATGCTTATAAATAAATTCACTTATATTCTTCAGCTCCAGAATCTTTACTGATAACTTCTCCCAGCAAATATACTAAATGGCAGCAACTTTGTTGAAGTATTCTTGACATAAAATAAAATGCACCCATTTTAAGCATACCTTTCTATGAGTTTCGACAACTTTATTCACCTGTGTAACCTTTGCCACAATCAAGAAATAGAGCCTTTTTATCATCTACAAAAGATCTTACGTGCCCCTTCACATCAATCCTACACCTTCTGCTCCCAGCTCAAACACTGACCTAATGTCTGTCAATCTGGATTAAATGTGTTTTCTTAAAAGGTTACATTAGGTTTTGTATCTGACCCTTTTAGCTCAGCAAGATTTTATTGTGACTCATTTATGCAGTTGCACGAATGAGTCTATTTATTCCTTTGCATTGCTGAGTAACATTCCATTCTGTGTGTACACAGCAAATTGTTTATTCATTAACTGCTGAAGAACAGTTGAGATTTTTCCAATTAAAGTTATCGCAAAAAAAACTAATATAACACTTGCATATAAGTTTTTTCATAGATCCTTGGTATGCATTTAATCACTATAGTGTTGTGTAATGGTATTTTTTTATTATACTTTAAGTTTTAGGTTACATGTGCACAACGTGCAGGTTAGTTACATATGTATACATGTGCCATGTTGGTGTGCTGCACCCATCAACTCGTCATTTAACATTAGGCATATCTCCTAATGCTATCCCTCCCCCCTGCCCCCACCCCACAACAGGCCCTGGTGTGTGATGTTCCCCTTCCTGTGTCCAAGTGTTCTCATTGTTCAATTCCCACCTATGAGTGAGAACATGAGGTGTTTGATTTTTTGTCCTTGCGATATTCTGCTGAGAATGATGGTTTAATCACAGTTTTAATTTACATTTTACAGTATATTAATAATGTTGAGCAACTTTTCATGTGATTTTTGGTATTTTGTGTACATTATTTTATGCTATATCTGTTTAAACGTTTTGCTTTTTTGGCTTGTCTGGTCCCAAGGTGGGACCAGGTGGAGGTAATTGGATCATGGGGGTGGTCTCCTCCACGCTGTTGTCATGATAATGAGTGAGTCTCAGGAGATATGATGGTTTTATAAGCATCTGGCATTTCCCCTGCTTGTTCTCACCCTGTCCTGCTGCCCTGTGAAGAGGTGCCTTCTGCCATGATTGTAAGTTTCCTGAGACCTCCCCAGCAATGCAAAACTGTGAGCCAATTAAACCTCTTTCCTTTATAAATTACCCAGTCTTGGATATTTCTTCATAGCATTGTAAGAATGGACCAATACAATGTTCTTTATCAAATTGAAGAAATTCCCTTCTCTTCCTAATTTGCTGATATCTTTCTCATAAATGGTGGTTAAATATCTGTTAAATGCTTTTCCTACCTCTAGATAATTATATGGATTTTGTCTTTTATTTTGGTAATAAGATGAAACATATTTCCACATGTAATACCAACCTTGTGTCTCTGGTATAAATGCTACTTGGTTATGATGTATTATCCTTTTTTTCACATATGGCTGGAATTGATTTGCTAATATTGGCTTCAAGTGTTTTATTTTTTACACACTATATTTTTTAGGGATCTTGGTGCATAGTTTTCTTTGTCAATAATGTATTTGACAGATTTTTCACTTGAGAATAATGCTGCCCTAATAAAATGAAAAAGAAAGTATTCTTTCCTGCTGTATTTTTTGAAAGATATTGGTAGAATTAGTGTTTGTTTTATGGGATCTTTGGGGTGCCACTTTTCTGGCCGGAAACCTCTCTGTCTGGTGGCACCTTTGCCTGAGTTCTTGTCCTGCGTCCAGGAAGAATGAGGTATGCAGACAAGTGTAAGGTGGATAAGGTGAAGAGGACTTTATTGAGTGTTACAACAGCTCAGAGGAGACCCACAGTAGGTAGCTCCTCTCTGTAGGGCGGTCCTTTCCTGGAGTATTCAGCTCTCAGCAGAGAGGAGGCCCTGAAGAGGGTGGCTCCTCTCTGCCAGCAGGTTGGCCCATCATCTCCAGCTATCAGCAGAGAGGGTAGTCCCTCTCTGCAACTGGTTGTCCTGTCTCTCCACCCTCTCCCTCTTCTGTCCTGCTCTGGCTGAACCTGGGGCTTTTATGGACCTCAGAGGGGAGGAAGTGCATGCAGGTTGGTCCATGGGCTGCCATGGGCAGCTGAAAGAGGCACCATGAGTCCCCCAGACTGGCAGCCCAGCCCCCAGCCTTCAGACCCCTGCTGGCATAAAGGAGAAACCTTATCAGGACCCACCCCCTTCTGCCCATGAATCTGCCTGCCTCTTGCTGCCATTCACGGCCCTGGGGCTCAGCCTTAACCTTGCTCCAAGGTTGGAGCAGGTTCCGGGAGTGGAGAGAGACCAGGCAGTGGGAGCAGACACTCCCAAGCCTGCAGGGATAAGAGTCTTCCTGGTTCCTGAGGGTGCAGACTGCAAAGATAACCAGGTCCTGCACCTGGGAAGGTGGCCGCAGCTGCACCCCAGGAGCTCCGGCCCCACCAGCTCGGAAGGGGCGAGGCGATGCTCCCACTTGTCCCTGGCTCCTGCCTGCTCCGAGGAGCAGGAGGCCCAGGTCTGCAGCCATGGGTTGGGTGGCTGAAGCTGCTCCTGGTAGGGCAGATCTTGCCTGCTCCTGGCTCCCACAAAGAGCACAGGGAGGCTCGGATCCATAGCCACAGTTTGAGCAGCTGTAGCTCCACCCAGGACAGCAGGGCTCCTGGCTGGTCCATAGAGCAGGAGGGCTAGGTCTGGAGCTGGTTTGGGAGGCTGCAGCAGCACTTAGGGAACTTCTGCTCCAACTCAGAAGGGGCAGGGCTCCCACCAGCTCCATGGAGTGTGCAACCCCAGCTGTGCATCCCTGCTGCAGCTGCTGTGATGGCAGTAGCCACTGCCATCATTTGGGTTGGTTGGTTGGTTTGTTCTTTGGTTGGTTTTTGAAGATGTTTGATCAAGTTTATCAGCAAATGCATCTAGGCCTGAAGTTGTCTTTGTGGGAAGATTTTAGTTAGTCAAGTTCCTTAACAGATATGAATCTATTTTGATTTTCTACATCTTCTTGAGACCATTTTGTACTTTGTGTCTGTCAAGGAATTGGCCAATTTTATGTTAAGTGGAACAATGTATTAATGTCTATTTATTCATAATATTTCCTTGTTATACCTTTTATGTCTGTTGAATCTATATTGACATACTATCTTTTATTCATGATATTGGCAATATGTGTCTTCTCTTACCTTTCCTGGTTAACCTAGACAGAAGCTTTTCAATGTTACTACTCCATTCAAACACTAACCTTTTTATTTCATGAGGTTGTCCATTCATTTTCTTTTCCGTTATTATTATTATTTCCTCTTTTCTACTTAGTTTGTACTTAACTTGCTTTTACTTTTCATGCTTTTTTGTCTTTGTTTCTGTTTGTTGTTATTTATTGAGTGGGTGGGGTCTCACTCTGCTGCCCAGGCTGGAGTGCAGTGGCACAATAATGGCTTATTACAGGCCCTGGGCTCAAGGGATCCTCCCACCTCAGCTTACCGAGTAGCTGGGACTGCAGGCATGGGCCATCATGCCTAGCTAACATTTTCTTGCTTTTTAAGGTAGAAATTTTATTGATTTGGGATCTGGCTTCTGTTTTACTATAATCACTTAAAACTATACATTTCCCTGCTTTTGCTGGATTAGCTGAATTCTACAATTTTGGTTTAATTTTGCTTTCATTCATTTCAAAATGTTTTTTAAATTTATGTGTGATTTCTTCCTTGACCCATGAATTATTTAGAGGTATATTGTTTAATTTCCAGATATTTGAATTTTCTAGATATCTTATTACACCTTATTCCTAATTTAATTATGTTGTGAGAAAAAAACTGTGTAGTTTCTGTTTTTTGAATTCATTGAAACTTGTTTAATGGCAACATGTGGTATATTTTTAAATCTGTTTTCATGTGTACTTCAAAGGAATGCACATTACACTGTTGTTAGGCAAAATGTTCTATGTATTTTTCAGATCAAGTTGATTAAGAATATTGTTCTGGTCTTCTATATCTTTAATAAATTATTGTCTACCTGTTCTGCTAATTACTGACAGAAACATGTTGAAATTACCAAATACAATTGTGGATTTAACAATTTATTCAGTTCTGTCAATATTACTTTCATGCACTTTTAAGCTCTGTTATTAATTGCATCATATTTATATTTACTAAGTCTAATTAATGAATTGAATATCATTTATCTCTGTTCCTTGTGAGGCCAACTTTTTAGGATTATTGCTTACATGGCATATCTTGTTTCATTCATCTAATTTGAATCTATCTGTATCTTTGTATAAGGAAATTTATTGAAGACAGGGTACAGTTTGATTGTGGTTTTTAATCAAACATAACAATCTCTAATTTTTTAATTTGAGTTTGTATACTATTTACATCTAATGCAGCTATTGGCATGGTTGGATTTAAGTCTACATCATGTTTCCTCTTTTGTAATTATCTTTTATCCTCTCTTTTGTTATTCTTTCTTAATTTTTGAAAGACACATCTTCAGGATAGAGAGCTCTAGGTTTGTGGGTTGTTATTGTTTGTTTGTCTACTTTAAACTTTTTGTTCCATTGTCTTCTCATTTGCAAAGTTTCTTATGAAAACTTTATAGTCCTTTTTATCTTTGTTCCACTACATATAATGTGTATTTGCTTTCTCTTCCTGACATTCTCCTTTTGTGGACACCTATTACACATACATTATTAGAATGCGCTATAGGGTTGCAAAATTCACTGAGAGTCTATTTATTATTTTGTAATAATAATTTTTTTGCTTGTTGGCATATCCAGCAATTTCTAATCATAAGTCAGACACTATGAATTTTATGTTGCTGAATGTGATCTGTACTCTGTACTCTCTTTAAAGAATGTTGATCTTTTTTCTCCCTATAAGTTATTTAAGGTTAACTTGGATCCTTTCAAGATTTGATTTAACTTTGTTAGGGTACTTCTAGAGTACCTTATACTCTAGAGAATGTTTAGTCCCATATCTAAGTCAAAATCTTCATCAACATCTACTGAATACCTTGGTAATCAGTGGGGACTCTCACTTCTGGTTAATTGCAACTTAAACAATCCTGTAAGACAATCCTGTTGTACAAAGTCCAGAAATTACTCAAGTCGCAGCTCACTCATGTTTGTTTGTCCAACATTACAGAGTTTTCGCCCCACACATGCTCAACTTAATATTCAGAAGAAAATCAACAGGTTGCCTATGCAGACTTCTGAAGGTTTTTTTTTTCTTTTTGGATCCCCCATTTCTAAAATCTGTCTCAACAACTTTCAACCATGGTCTGTTTGGTAACCTCCTCCCAAGGAGGAGATCTGGAAGGTACCCACAAGAATCAAGTCAAGATGATTGTAGGGCTAACCTTATTTTTTTACCCTCTCTCAAGGATCACAGTTTTGCATTGTCTGTTTTCCAATATGTGAAAACTATCACTTTATATATATACTGTAATTGTTTTCTAGTTGTTTATGACAAGAAGGTAAATGCTGTACCTATTATTTCATTGTGGCCAAAAGCAAAAAAAAAGTTTACCATTATATTCTATCTGAGAAGTAGGTAAAGCACTATACACAGGGAGTAATTTGCTAGTGGCCATTGTTGTTTTTTAACACCAAGCATGAGAAACGGTAGATATCTTGTAACTACTCTAAATCAAAAGCCACTGAAGTATAATATGTTGCTAATCTGACTTATAATTAAATAACATAATTAAGGGCAGCATGGCGGAGTGGAATGGTTTTAAAGAAAACTAAGAACCTTTTTCTGATTCAAAATTATATGACAACAATCTAGAAAAGCAGTCCTTGACAGGGCACAGTGGCACACGCCTATAATCCCAGCACTTTGGGAGAGTAAGGCAGAAATTCCTGAGGTCAGGAATTTGAGACCAGCCTGGCCAACATGGCAAAACACCTCGTCTCTACTGAAAATACAAATATTAGCTGGATGTAGTGGTGGGTGCCTATAGTTCCAGCTACTTGAGAGGCTGAAGCAGGAGAATCTCTAGAGCCTGGGAGGCAGAGGTTTCAGTGAGCCGAGATCACTCCACTGTACTCCAGCCTGGGCGATAGAGAGACACTCCGTCAAAAAAAGAAAAAAAAATCCCTAAATAATTAATCACTGTTCAAAGGACTGTTCCAACATCCTAAACGGATGAGTGTCTGTACAAATAATATAAATTGTCAATATCCAATTCTGTTCAAGTTTTAAGAGAAGGATATATGTGGGTACAGAAAAGTGGGATATATAACATTTGAAGAGATAACATCTCCTATTCTAACAGGTGTTAAACAAATGAAATAAATATAAAATGATACAATAATTTCAGAGTATAGTGGGAATGGGAAAGGAAAAAAGATACCATGTGGAAAGATAGATTAAGATCATACTTTGGGAGTTTGATTTCACTATCCCAGGAAACAAAAATAAATTTTAATAAAACTGATCCAATGTATCAAAAATATAGCAAAAGATATGAACTCTGAAACCAAAAATTCAGAACCAGTTATTAGGTAAGAAATAAGATGCAACAGTTGTTGACTCAGCAAAGAAATGAATGGAAAATAATCCAATTGCAGGACTTAACTTGTAATATATACAATATTACTAGAGAATACATACAATAAATTGATGAGGAAGACATTTTAAGCAAAATCATAAAAAGAAAAGTGAAATGAAAGGGAAGAAATAAACTGGAAGAAAGGTGATGGATATGGAGGACAAGCGTATGAGAGCAGACATATAGCTACTTGATATGTCTAAAGGAGAGAGGTGAACAAATGAAGCAAAATCTGTTCAAAAGTAAAAGAAACTTACAGGAAAATAAGACTAAATCTATAATTGAACAGGGCTTCCATATTAGGAAATAAAAAATCCAGAAATACCAAGACATGTCTTATTGATGATATTGTTTAATTTCAAGAGTCAAGAAGAAAATCTTAATAGGTAGAAAAAAGGTAAATGATCTACCAATAAAAGAAAAAAACATATGACTGTTCTAATTATTCTCAATAACCTCTGATAACAGTGTAGCAATTTCTATGAAGTTTTGATAGGAAAAGTCATTGACAAAATTATACATTCACTCCAGTTATTAATCATCTATGAAGGAATTAAACAGGCAATCTTAGATATTCAGGGAATATAAAATTATTTCACACACACACACACACACACACACTCACATACACAAACTTAAACCAATCTAAGAAAAGATTCACATAAGGAACAACAGATTCACATAAAAAATCTGTTATTAACAGTCTAGACGGACTGGGCACAGTGGTTCATACCTGTAATCCCAGCACTTTGGGAGGCCAAGGAAGGCGGATCACCTGAGGTCAGGAGTTGGAGACCAGCCTGGCCAACATGGTGAAACCCCTTCTCTACTGAAAATACAAAAATTAGCCGGGCATGGTTGCAGGTGCCTGTAATCCCAGCTACAAAGCTGAGGGAAGCTGAGGTAGGAGAATCGCTTGAACCCAGGAGGCTGATGTTGCAGTGAGCCAAGATTGCGCCATTGCACTCCAGCCTGGGTGACAACAGCGAAACTCTGTCTCAACAACAACAACAACAAAACAGTCTAGAGGGAAACAGGGAATAAATATAAACATAAATTTATTTCAGATATTGATAGAATTTAGAATAGCAAATTGCTATAGTATTATAAAAGTTAATGCTACAAACAAATAATTTAAATAATAATAGTAATAAAATTGAATAATAGATTCACTGAAACCCATGATCATGTTGCCGAAAAAGGAAAAAGTAAGTGGAGAATGTCATTATCTTTTGGGGTAAAGGATGAATTTAATAGCTCTTATTTAATTTCAAATGCTTATAAATTGGGAAATGCATAAAATATATATTCCAGCTTATTATTTGAAATTATTAAATAATAATTAGTTGAACTGAAAATATGCAGCACACTTAACAATTTACTAAGAGTGGAGAGTAGAGATTGAGGAACAAACAATATAGAAAAATTTGGTAAATAATAGAATCAATAAAGAAATTCAAGGCAAACATGAATAAGATGGAAAACATCTAACCTTATTGCTATGGTTTAAATTTCTTCTTCAAAACTCATGTTGAGATTTAATACCCAGTATTAAGAGTTGGGACCTTTAAAGGCGACTAGGTCAGGAGGGCTTTACTCTTGTGAATAATTAATGCCATTATCAAGGGGCTAAATTAATCATCATAGGAGCTCCACCCTTTTTTCCTCTCTGTCTTCTGTGTACTTGCCATCTTTTGCCCTTTCTCACTACATGATGCCCTCATGCCATGTTATGTTGTACCAAGATGGCCCTTACCAGATGCAGCCCCTAGATTTTGGACTTCCAGTTTCCAGAACCAAAGCCAGATAAATTTTCTTTCTTTGTAAACTACCCCAAAAAAGAATATAGTGGGATTAAAAAGTTTTTTTTTTAAGTTTAGTATTTCCTAGCATTGGCAAATGAAAAGTTTACATCACAAATCTGACAAGGTAGACAGGTAAACCAGCCTAAAACTTTTGAACGTAAATTTAAAAACAATGAGAAGACTTGAAAGATTTCAAGCAGGAGCTTGGCCTGATAAGATTTGCATTTCTACAGAATAATTCTGGAGACAGTGATGAGAATGAATTCAATCAGTGTTTCTCAATCTCAAGACTACTGACATTTTGGACCACAGAATTCTTTACTGGAGAGGGTTGTTGTGGGCATTGCAGAATATTTGGCAGTATCCCTGACTTCTACCTAGTAGATGCCAGTAGCATCCTCAACTAGTTAACTGAAACCAAAATGACAATTGAATAACTTAATACTCGAATACATTAAGATTGATGAAAAAATAGCCTCAACTGGGAAAAATTGCCCCAACTGGGAAACACTGCATGAGAAGGAATCAAGGAGATGTGAGGAGACTGTATAGCAGGCTGTTGAATGGAGCAGACAAAAGGTAACGTTAGCTTACATTCGAAGGTGGAAGTATAAATCGGGGACACTGAATAAATATGAATGCTTGAGGGTGGAGGAATGATCTTAATCATCCATTGAATGTTGGATATGAGGGGGAAAGAGGAATTGGATATTAACTCTGGATTTTTTGCTTAATTTATGTGGATTAATAATTTTAAAATGGAGAATATAGGACAATAAGCAGATATATGGAGGAAAGATCTCAGTTTTGCTTTGGACTTGTTGACTCAAGTGTTTATGAAATATTCAAGGGATGATAAATGTAAATGATGATGATCTCTGATTTGTGGTGTGCTGGTTTTGTTTCTTTTTCCACTTTTCTCTCTTGTTTTATTTATCAAAGCATTAATTTTCCGAAAATTTATAATTCTTATGATCAGAAAGTCATTACGACTTTTTCCACTTTGAAAAAGTTAGTATGTAATTAATTTTGTGATCACAAATAATATGTTTTAAAAGCCCACCCCCTTTAACCTTGTCTTTTTTATATAATATTGTTCACTAGATATTAATGCACTTTTTACCTTTCTGGAGAAATGTTACATGCAATATATATCAAGTGTATGTGCATTCTTTGTTATTTTCTAGAAATCTAATGTTTATGTCTACTTAGCACTAATATTAATGTTTGCCTAGTAGACAAATATCATTCAAACTGATTATTTTGGTAATATACATGCCCTAAAAGGTCAAGTTGATTTTAATCTTTTATATTTTTATTTAATTCATCAAATTAGGTTTGAATTTCCAACTTTTGATCCACTTGACGATACGGATAAAAAATCTAATCCATATGTTTCTATGATGAACTATAGAAACACTAATTTTTTCATGTTTTTGTAGAAAAAAACAACCAGTAGAAAATAAGGTTTACCCCCAACACCGCATGTTCTCACTTATAAGTAGGAGCTTATCAATGAGAACACATGGACACAGGGAGGGGAATAACACACACTGGGGCCTGTCAGGAGGGTGGGAGGAGGAAGCGCATCAGAACAAATAGCTAATGCACACGGGGCTTAACCCCTGCTTACCTAGGTGATGGATTGATAGGTGCAGCAAACCACCATGGCACACATTCGCCTATGTAACAAACCAGCACATCCTGCACATGTACCCCAGAACTTAAAACAAATAAAATGAAATAAGGTTTAACTTTCTATAACTAATGTCAATATACAGTGCTACAATACTATATTTTCAGTTTTGCATTAGCAGAGTGAATACCAGGAATAGGAAGGAAACAAAATCACATGTCAGCAATTCAAATTCTTTTGAATTTTCTGCATTGTGAGCACAAGGATCTCCAGTCAGAACAATTTTCATTTTTTTTCTTGATTTCCTTTATTTTCAGCCTGGCTTAGGTAGATAGTAAATATTTTTGACAAGAACTTGGTTGGCAAATACTTTGAAGATATTTTTATTGTATTTTCCTCCAAGGAGTAGATGGACTATTTCAGATTACCAGGATCTGCAGCACTGACAACCTAATTAATGAAAAGTCACTGAATTGTGCAAAGGTCCAAAAAGTCGAAGAAACCAACAGTTCCAACTCACCATTCAGCACTGTTTCTTGAGACATTGCTAGTTCTAATTGTGATCTAATTCAGCTTGGCACCTGGGGAAGTGATCATTCTACTAATGAGACTTTCCTATTCACATACCTTACTTTTCCTCAGAGATGTTTGTCTTATCATAGCAGCTTATTGCGTGCACTTTTATTTTAACGATCAATATCAAAACTGTTATTAGATAACATTGATCTAAAAATTTAAGAACCAATGCAACCTCTGACAGAGATGTACTTTTAACTGTATGATGTAACATGTAGATTTTACCAACCGTAATATCAGTAGGTGAACACAAACATGGTGATATGGTTTGGCTCCGTGTCCCCACCCAAATCTCAAGTTGAATTGTAATCCCCACGTGTTGAGGGAGAGACCTGGTGGGAGGTGACTGGATCATGGGGGTGGGCTTCCCCCTTGCTGTTCTCATGATAGTGTGTGAGTTCTCAGGAGATCTGGTTGTCTAACAGTGTCCAATACCTCCCACTTCATTCTCTCTCCTGCTCCCTCATGTGAAGATGTGCCTGCTTCCCCTTCATCTTCTGCAATGATTTTAAGTTTCCTGAGGCCTCCTCAGCCATGCTTCCTGTACAACTTGCAGAACTGTGAGCCAATTAAACCTCTTCATAATTACCCAGTCTCAGGTTGGTCCTTATAGAAATGTGAGAACAGACTAATACACATGGCAATAAAATAAAATATTTTAAGAAATAATAGCCTCTAAATGCTCAAATACTCTTCAGATATGTTTGTAAAACCAGGTTATCAAATTTGAGATATATTCAGTTATTCCAATTTAATGGTGACTTTTGGAGGGAAAAAAGGAGAGAAAAAACGAGAGGGAGGGAGCAAAAGAGGAAATGAAGGAAAGAGGGAAGGAAGGAAGGCCTATTAGTACATTAGAAAATATTTGTCTGATTGTAATTTTATCAGAGGGGACAAAAGAAAAAGTGTCGATGATAAGTCAGATGTGGAAAAGCATTAACAGGCCAATGAGAAAAATGTGGAAAATATAATATTGATTTACAGTGCTGAGATGGAAAAATACAGTTATAAGAAATTAGGTTCTTCTTTAGGAGTAAGAGCATTATGGCTAATGTTTTATTACTCAGATGACTAGACTGTGTCTACTCGAATTTCTTGAATAGGCACTAAGATACACTGCTGCAAGTACAGTGTGTTAGTCAATCTCATCTCCCCAGCACTGAGCATGGGGCCTGGCATATTCATCCATTGACTCAACAAATATTTATTGAGCTACCACATGTAAAGCACTGTGCTAGGTTATAAGCATGTCACATTGGAACCTCCTTCACAGCACTAATATTCTAACAGAAGAGACAGACACTGAACGAACAACTGACACATGTAAAATATTCAGTAATGGCTCATTGGATAGCTGAATTATTAGCCAGATAGATAGATGGGTGGAATGGATAGAATGGATACTTAAATGGATGACCTGAAAAGTTGCAAGAAGCTCTGCAACCCCAGAGCCTATTACAGAGTCTGGTATATAGTAGACGCTGAATAAATATTTGTTCACTGTATAAATGTTTGACTAAATTATTACACAGAAGTTCTAAATGATTTCAGATATGTCTTCTATTGGTCTATCGTGTTCTAAATAAACATAGACCACAAACAGGTCTTCTGTTAGTCTGCTACAACACTTAAAAATCTTACAACTAGAATTACCCATTTCTAAAGAATATGCCAGAGAGCTCATCATCCACTGCTAATTTATTAGGGCTATTAATGTATATTCATTGTTAATCTGGTAAGTGAGACAGCAAGATAATTGTTTACCAACACTGGAAAAGATTATATTAATTTAGTTCTGGAATGATTTTGCAACCACATTCATAAAATCTAAAAGGAACACATTGACATTTTTTCTATTCTCCACTGTCAGTATTACTGAAAATGTCCAAAAGGTAAAGGCCATGCTGACCAGTATCATTGTAGAAAATGTGATTGATGGAAGAGCTGGAAGGAAAAATAAATAATTTGGTATAAGGATATAAATATGCATGCCTGAGTCATGTTCAAAAATACTTGTGTAATAAGTGAAATTGCATTTTAATTGGAAATTTAAAAAGTAATATACAAAACAAATTTAATTGTATATATAGACTGAAACTATGACAACAGATTTAGTTGATCTTAACTTAGAAATTCAATTAAGTAATAAAAGGCAGTATAGCCATCTTTATTTGGCAATATGTTGACAATTTATTGACTTCCTTGCTTTTTTTTTTTTTTTTTTTTTTTGCTTTTAACTTTGCAACCACTTGCTTTTGTTCTATAGAGGCAAAACTTAATTCTAGAAACTAAAGACCTTGTTCAAAGTAATTGTTGGTGTTTCAGAAGAAGCTCAATTAATTATGGCATTGCTTTCCCCATGCAAAAGGTGAACCAATTAAGGAATAAGACAAAAAAGTTATCCAGAATGAAGATTTTTAGAAATCATCTGTATTGATGCTATAACTGATACTGCAGAAGTCTCCATGTGGAACCAATCTCTGTTAAGCTTTCTTCAAGGTAGGGAGGGCTAGAAGGTGTGCTTTCTGCAGGAAGGCTGACCCCAGAGAGAAGGGTGGGGAAAGACTGAGGACATATGCCCAGTTCTTCCAAATTCAACAACGAGGCAACTCATTCCACCTCCCTGGGGAGAAGTAAATGTTAAGATCCAACTTTAGGAGCATTTAGAAAAAAACAACCTTCTATATGAAAACCATTATGGAAGCCTTCTTTCCACCCAAAATGAATATATGGAAACTAAAGTTAACAAAGGAACTAAAAAAAGTCTAAAGCTCAACATTTACACAGGACAAGAGCATCAAATGCTTACAGGGACTTCACATCTTTCCTTGAGAACATTAACATATAGGAGCTCAGAAATCAGATTCTATTACATGACCAAAGTTTAATTAAAATATTGTGGGCACATCAAGTCCCTCATGAGTGACTTGATGCTCTCCTTATGGTAGTAAGTTACCACAAGATTTCATTGTTAAAAAAAGTCTGGGACCTCCCCTCTACCCCTTGCTGTCTCTCTCCTGTGACACACCTGCTCTTCCTTCACCTTCCACCATGAGTAAAAACTTCCTGAGGCCCCACCCAGAGTTGAGTAGATGCTGGTGCTGTGCTTGTACAGCCTGCAGTACTGTGAGCTAAATAAAGAAATGCCTTTGTGGGACACTGGCACTGAAGTCACAGATAGCCATAGACATGAAGGGGCCATCGGTTCTGTATATTGGTTGTTATAACTTTTGAAGACATATTGATATGGTTTGGCTCTGTCCCCACCCAAATCTCATCTTGAATTGTAGCTTCCATAATACCTACATGCTGTGGGAGGGGCCCAGTGTGAGACAATTGAATCATGGGGGCGGTTGCTCCCACACTGTTGTCATGGTGACGAATAAGTCTCATGAGATCTGATGGTTTTATAAGGGGAAATCTCTTTCGCTTGGTTCTCATTCTTTCATGCCAGCTACCATGTAAGATATGCTTTTGCGGCCAGGTGCAGTGGCTCACGCCTGTAATCCCAATACTTTGGGAGGCTGAGGTGGGTGGATCACCTGAGATCAGGAGTTCGAGGCCAGCTTGACCAACAGGGTGAAACCCCATCTCTACTAAAAATACAAAATTACCCAGGTGTGGTGGCGCATGCCTGTAATCCCAGCTACTTGGGAGTCTGAGGCAGGAGAATCACTTGAACCTGGGAGGTGTAGTTTGCAGTGAGCCGAGATCACACCATTGCACTCCAGCTTGGGCAATAAGAATGAAACTCCGTCTCAAAAAAAAAAGTGCCTTTTGCCTTCTTCCATGATTGTGAGGCCTCCCCAGCAACGTGGAACTGAGAGTCCATTAAACCTCTTTTTCTTTATAAATTATCCAGTCTCGGGTATGTCTTTATCAGCAGCATGAAAATGGACTAATAGACATAGGATTTGACGACGCTTCCCCAAATAACCTAGCAACTATAAGGTGCCTGATCCTTACATTACCTTGTGTAAGGAGAGAAGTCCAAGAATAACTGAGATTTTTCTCTACCAGACCTGGGTAGGATAGAAGGCTTAATAGGGAAATTAACTTTATATATGGAAAAGAAAGAGATGTACTGTTTCTTGCTTGCTTGAATTTGTAGTCTGACATTTACATCTGTACAAAGTTCCAAGTGCTCATTCTTTCATTATAATACTGAATAACATTCAATTAGTAGAAACTGAATTGAGAAGTTATGTGGACAATTGACAAAAACAGATTGATATTTATCTATGTAACAGTATAATAGGGAGAGCCGTATAGCAAAAATCAGAAAGGTTGTGTTTAAGTCTCATCACCACTGTTGACTATATACTTGGGTAAGTCATACCTTCTTGTCTGTAATAATTCTTAGACAACTATCCTAAGACCTTGTTTTAAAAGAAATAAGCAGGGAATTTCTAAATTGCTTGTAAACAATGCTAGCTCCTTGAATTATTGTAATGATTACGATTGGGGATATACACAAAACTATTACATTATATATAGGTATAATTGAAGGGAGATAAGAAAACAGAAATTTCTATATGATAAAGACATAATTTACTGTCCCTTAATTCAATGCTATTTATCTTTTCATTTTAAAAATAAATTCAGCTATTACTGTATTTTTTTACAGATGACAGTCTGCTATACACTTTACTTCCATTCAATAAGAAAAGGACTAAGTATCAAATACGCCATACTAGACAATGTGGAGAAGTAAACCTCTTGAAGAAGATCCATCAATGATTTTAGTTTGAGAATATTACCTGATGTTCAGGGAATATGCCTTTGTGTTATAATCTCTCTGAGCTTCAGTTTCCGCTCTGTCATATGGTGGCACTTTCCAATGCAGCAAAGATAAGATAAGAAACAGTGATTTGTGTAATATGTTATGGGAACTGAGGAGAACCTAGTTCTACTGAGATGATAAGGAAGACTTCAAAGAGAAGTCATACTTGATTGGTAGTCTTTCAAACGAACAAGAAGAAGGACAGGATGTTTTAGGCAGAAGGGAGATATGCACAGCACCTCAGGCATGAGATAACTCGATATAATCAAGAAATCTCCATGCGGGAGTGGCTAGAGATCAGTATGTGTATGTTGCCGTAGGGAAGTTGAGTCAGAAATGATAACGGGGGCTAAAAATGATGTCCTTTCTATGATATACTGAAGAGTTTACAATTGATCCTGTAAAACAGTGGAATTATGAAGGATTTTTAAATCAGAACTTATAATCTTTACTATAATAGAATTTTTCTAAGAAATTAAGCAAATATGGTGCCAAAAGCTTTTCATGCCCCTTCACTACCTTGTGTTCCTGCTTGAAGTTCAGCTACAGAATCCAGGATGTCCAAACTTGGAAATTAGTTGTTACCCTAACAGAAACCTAAATGTACAAAGACAAGACAGTGGATTGGTCAAGATTTGAATCCTTCTTTTTTAAATGTATAGCCTACACACCTTGCTTTGGTTCCTTAACCCTTATCAATTTTTAGTGGATCCATAATTGATCATTCATGTCCATTAATCTCGTTCCAACTTCAATGCCTGCCTTGTCCTCTAAGTCCTGTCTGTGTTGACTCACTGCCTGATTCTGGTAAGGCACCCTCTTTCTGGTTAGTTCATCTGGTTCCAGCAACCTGGTTTTGATTTCATTATTTTCTAGTATTTTTATTATACTTAAGTTCTGGGATACATGTGCAGAACCTGCAGGTTTGTTACATAGATATACACGTGCCATGGTGGTTTGCTGCACTCATCAACCTGTCATCTACATTAGGTATTTCTCTTAATGCTATCCCTCCCCTAGCCCTCAACCCCCCAACAAGCCCGTGTGTGATGTTCCCCTCACTGTGTCCTGTGTTCTCATTGTTCAACTCCCACTTATGAGTGAGAACATGCGGTGTTTGGTTGTCTGTTCCTGTGTTAGTTTGCTGAGAATGATGGTTTCCAGCTTCATCCATGTCCCCGCAAAGGACATAAATTCATCCTTTTTTAAGGCTGCATAGTATTCCATGGTGTATATGTGCCACATTTTTTTTACCCAGTCTATCATTGATAGGCATTTGGGTTGCTGTTGTGAATAATGCTGCAATAAGCACAAATGTGCACAGTGTGGCAATTCCTCAAGGATCTAGAACCAGAAATACCATTTGACCCAGAAACCCCATTACTGGGTATAAACCCAAAGGATTATAAATCATTCTACTGATTTCATTATTTTCTAAGTATAAATAGCTCTTCAATTTATCACCTACCTCGATCTGCATTCCACATTTTCCCTCAGGCTTCTTACTCAAAGAACCTTTCTTGAATTCCAAACCTCTTACGTTCCCAGGTCCTGGTGTAATGAGCAATCTTAAGATCTCTTCTTCCACTAAGAAAAGCCAAATTTTCACACTCTTCCAGGCCCTCAGGTCAAAGGAGGAAATGTCAAAACATAGGTGAAAAAACAAAATATCTTGCCTGGGTTTATGTTTAAAAATAAGTTAGACTGTCTTGATCAAAAGTAGTGCCAAAATATACTCTTTTTATTGTTTAAAGTAGTCTTACAATCCTCAAGAGATCAGCTGCAATGTGTTCAAGTTTCATCCTGTATTTTCTTTCACACTTATAATTGACAGGTAGAATATGTAGCCTATCTCCTTCCCCAAATGGTCGTGGAATTCATGTTACCATATGCCAGTATCAATAACTGTGCTGCCAATAGAAGCATGGTGGGATGGGAGCTGTCTATAGCAGCCTGGGTGTGGGAACACCTTTCAACATTGTCATCCCTTAACAATCACCATGTTTAGCTTGAAAAACATTGGACTTTTACCAATTGCAGCCACCAATATTAAATGGGATGAAACTCATCATCTTTTTTTCCCGACTTTTGTCTCATAGCATAAAAATCAATTTAAAATAAGCCCACTTTTTTCCTACAGGATGGAGTTCAATTTAAATTTTAGATTTTTCACTTAAAAATTTTATATACCTCCTTAAAGGAATGCTATACTTCAGTTATTAAAAAATAACCTGTTTACAAAATCTGGAGCACGACATTTTAGTGGAGCAGGTTCATGATTTAAAATGTAGAAAAACAACAAGGGAAATATTTACCAAATGAAAAAAAATCCATATGTACTTTGATCTGTCAGTTCAATTTCTAGAAATATATAGTACTACAGTTACACCTACCTATGTACAAAATAACATGCCAAGAATATTGCTCCTATGCAACAACAACAACAACCATTAACAAGGGGCCAGTTAAATGCATTATGTTGCATTCCTACAATGGGATAAAAGTTAACTATTTAAAAGAATGGACCAACCCTCTGAGTACAATTAGGAAAAACTGCCAAGGTATATAGTTAAGGAAATGCAGTTTATCCTCATTATTCACAGAGTCAGAATTCATGAATTCACCTATTCTAAATTTTATTTGTAACTAAAACTTATTTGTAACCCCAAAAGCAATATTCACAGAGCCGTTGCAGTGACTCTCTACACATACATAGAGCAATGAAAAACTTGGGATGCCCTTGCACATGTTCCTAGCTGAGGTCAAGGAAGGTGACTGACTTCTTATTTCAGTGCTCATGCTGTAGCCAAATTTCCTTTTCAGGGTCAATTTAGTGCCACATTTTTTCATCTTTATGCTTTTCATTGGTGATTTTGATTTCCACTTTACAATGGCCCCCAAGTGCAATGCTGAAATGCTGGTTAGTATTACTAAGCACAAGAAGGCTTGTGAAGTACCTTAAAGAAAGAATATGTGCATTAGATAAGCTTCATTCAGGCATGAATTATAGTGTCATTGGCAGTGAATTCAGTGTTAATAAATCAATAATATTTGTTAAGTAAGGTGTCTTTAAACAGGAAGATACACAAAACGAGGTGGTATATTGATCGGTGATGAAAGGGTGACTAAATGCTCATAGGAACCTAACTTTGTATTTCCTCTAGGAGCAATGGTTCATTATTTGCTAATTCAGTATTAGTTGTAACTTTACTACAGAACATAACTACGACAAATAATAAAAATTGCCTGTGTTTAGGTACAGAACGATGTGTGTGATATGCTATTCTTATGTCCAAGGGAAATAAACAAAAACATATATATATATATAAAATTTTCTAAAATACATACATTTGTAAAGGTGAAGAAGTGGTTATATTGGCAGTCTCTGTAGAAAGCAACTGGGTGGTTGGCTTTTGTATTTTGAGAAATTTTATAATAACACATGCATTACTGAATCAAAAACTAAATAATACATAATTTTATAAAAGAACAAGAGGTTTTATTTTCCATGTATACAGTGTTTTGGAAAGTGGCTCCTGACTTGTGGTCAGTACCAAAATAGATTACTTGAAGAGGGGTGTAATTACCAACTTATATATTTATTGTATGCAGGGGAACAACTTCTGCCTCAGATGTGCTGTCATCCTTGGTGTTGTCCTATTTCAGCCCTGAAGTGGATCCCCAGTTGCATACCAAGCTTCTTTTTGTCAAAAGAGAAGCAAATGTACACCCTTCCAAAACTTTTGGGGGGAAAATAGGGCAGAAAAGGAGATCAGAATTTGCTTTTTAATCAATAACTTGAGGCTCTTTATTAACCTAGTTTCACAAAAGAATATTTGTAAGTATTACTAATATGAGCACTTCCACTGAAAATAATCTCAGCTGTCTTCACAGGAATTTAAATTATGCCAAAACCTTGCTCAAGAAAAAAGAAAGCATGCTTGGCAATGCCACACTTATTTTCTCAGATATCTCTTTTGTTTAATGTAATCAGAAACCAGAGAAAAGAAGAGGTGGCCTAAAAATGAAAAGAAATATTTGATAGAAATTTGAATTCTCTAAATTTGTTTCCAAAAATATAAGTCAGGAATCTGGGGGCATGCCAACAGCATATATAAATATGGAATGAGATCTATGGTGATATTTATCTTTTTCCTAGCATTTTTAGGATATACTGAAATCAGATAATTTGAACAAAGGGGAGATTGATTGCAGATTATTGTAGGCAATTATAGCAAGGAGGCAGAGGGAATGGGCAGTACTTTCAGAGAGCCTTGAGAACAGTGGCACCAAGGTCTGTGGAATAATTAATGCATTACTTGTAATTAAAACATTATTTGTAATGCTGCTACAAATCTGTTCTTGTAGCATCATGAATGTACAAGCATATCTCATTGTGAAAATCAAAGAGGATGCTTTTCCAAGTTCAGTTTATCATGCAACCTTGCCCCGTCTGAAACAGCTAATGTCAAAACATTCCTGCCAATAAGAAGGAACTGAAAAGAGAAAGGGAAAACATGAAAAAGATATTTTTCTACTGGTAATATCTAAATTGAATTACATTAAATTTAGCAAGGGCTTTCTTGGAATAAATAGAGATACAAATCGATTAAACATAAAGAGACTCTTCAAAATAGAACCTTTCTAAGTGGTGCAGGTTGGGAATAGTGCCTGCCTCCTGTTTGAAAGCTTGTCGCTTGATCTTCTCAACTACACACATTGAACAGGGTGTAATAAATCCATGTTTATTTGAAACATTTTTAATAAGACTGTTGCATCACCACACAGCTTCCCCTCATCATCACTACCACCGCCACCCCACCCACCCCACACACATAGGCAAACTTTTTTTGTTAATTGTACTTTGCTCTTCAATTCCTAGTTCATTACTTTGACTTCCGTTTTGTTCTTGGCTTGTTTGTGGTTTGTTTACTGCTTTTTGTTTTGGGGGAACTATCTGGGCTGGTTAAAAAAAATGTGTTTTAGTGTCAGACATGACAAAAACCTGCTGCAACATTTATCAGCTGTGTTATTTTCTTATTGCTCCTATAAGAAATTACCACAAACTTTGTGATTTGAACCAACATGAATATCTATCTAGAGCGCTGGAAATCAGAAATGCAAAATGGTTTTCACTGGGCTAAAATCAGAGTCTCAAAGGACTGCATTTTTTTCTGGATGCTCCAGGAAAGAATCTTCCTTTGCCTTTTTCACTTTCTCAAGGCCACCTGCATTCCTTGGTTCATGTCCTCTTCTTCCATCTTCAAAGCCAGCAGTGTAGCATCTTCATATCACTCTCACTCCAAGCCTGCCCCCTCCCTTTTTCACTTATGAGGATCCCTTTAATTTTATTGAGCCCACCCAGATAACTAAGGACAATAATGCTACCTCAAGACCCTTACTTTAATCACATCTGCAAAATCTCTCTTGACATGTAAGGTAACCTATTCATAGTTCCAAGAGATTAGGACATTTTTGTTGCATCTGGGGGGAGTCAGTACTATGCCTACCACTCTATGTGTCACTGGACAAAGTATTTGTCCCCTTAGGGTAATTCCCTCATTTTCCAATTTAAGGTAATAATATTTATTTTATTTGGTTAAGGTCTTGATTTGGGGGGAATTAAAGAACATCTAGTTTCAACTTTTCCATATTTTTAATACGGGTTGGCCAAAGAATCCTCTAAGGAAGCAATTTTGAAATTTAAATTTATTTTGAAAATCTTTTCATACCAATTAAACTTAAAGACCATTAAACCTCTGGAATTTTATCTGTTTTGCCATGATATTTCACAAATGAAGAATTATGTTTATATCAAAGGTCATTCCCAAGTGACACCTGTAATCCTACATGACAGGTGAAATTGTGTCATTTAGAAAGATAGTCACATGGCTTATCCGAGAGTAGGCATAGACTCAGGTTTACATTAAGACAATTTCAAGAGCTCCGCCATAATCAGAAAGAAATGGTCAGGTGCAACTTTATGTCTCCAGAATTGAGCCAAGAGTCTGATCATTGCTGATGAAGGATCTCCAGACTCCAGGAAGATGGGTCTAAACAAAGTAGTTCTCAGGGATGCAAAGATAAGACTGAGAAAAGTGAAATTATATCCACATAAAGTGACCCACGGAAAAGTTTGCAAGGGGTGTCTAACCAGACCTCCTTGACTTGTTTCAAGATGGACTTATCAAGCCTACACCTACTCTCTCCCTATACACACTCTTAGAAATTTAAGACATACAGAGGCAAGAAAGGACTAAGACAAGCAAAACAGTGGTTTATTACTCATAAGGCATTTCCATCCGAGACAAGAGTTCATAATTCTGACTCATTATCAAAATATTCCTAAGAGGGAATCCATTCCCTAGGACAAATATATACCTACCATTTTTGGTTCAATGAAAAATAATCAGCATTCGGCCTAATTCAAAACCTGCCCCACCATTCTAGTCAGGGGAACCTCAAGAGCATCGAAGGAGCATGCTCTCTTACCAGGAAGGATCTGAGGCTAGGGGACTGAGAGGCCAATCAGTTGAATCCTGGTGAATCGCCAGATAGTTGAAATGTTCAAAATATGATTAGTCAATCTATTGATAAAACAGAAACAAAGGTTAAACTCACTGCAGTAAACAAGAAAGAACACGATCTTGACGAAGTTTTAGTGTATCAGAAAGGGAAGTTAATAAGTGGGAAGTTTTCAGGGTTTGGGCTATGACTTCAATTAGTGTAGAGCAGACTTTTTAAGGAAGATAACTGATTGGGATTGGATGAAGTTCAAGACATAATTGTTTAGGACTGATGGATACAGTAAGGCAAGGGTCTTGAAGTAAGTCTTGAGAAGTAAACTTTTGTTTGATAAGGAATTTGTTTGCACAGATGAACAGAATCTCATTATCTCAGACAAACTGACTTACAAGAATCTCCTGAAGCAAATAGTGAAGCTATTTATTGATTTACAGTCTTTTATCTATTCTAGGATGGAACAAATAATTAAGTTATGTTGACACAAAGGCTCTCAGTTCCTAGTCCTAACAGTTTTGTCACATTAATGCAGGTGTTCATAGTTCTCAGGAATGTGGACACCCTGCTGTAGACAACTTTTCCCACCCCTCTCTTCTCATTCTTATGTAAGTGCGTGATATGGTCTGGCTGTGTACCCACCCAAATCTCATCTTGAATTGTAGCTCCCATAATTCCCATGTGTTGTGACAGGGACCTGATGGGAAATAATTAAATCATGGGGGCAGTTTCCTCCATACAATTCTCATGGTAGTGAATAAGTCTCATCAGATCTGAAGGTTTTATAAGGGGTTTCCCTTTTGCTTGGCTCTGATTCTCTTTTGCCTGCCGCCATGTAAGATGTGCCTTTTGCCTTCTGCCATGATTGTGAGGCCTCTCCAGCCACATGAAACTGACAGTCCATTAAACCTCTTTTTCTTTATAAATTACCAAGTCTCAGGTATGTCTTTATCAGCAGCATGAAAACAGACTAATAGAGTGGGGCTATATATTATATCTTGGGTTTGGACAAGGGGATAAGAGTGGAAGTGATAAATGCAACTTTAGAGTTGTAATCTTAGGGAGAAAGGAATGCATCCCCTCTGTTCTCTTTCTTCTTCCCTACTGCTTGAGATGTGATAGAAAGATTGGAAACAGTCATCCTAACTGCAGGAAGGAAACGTAATGTTAAGGTTGACAGAGGAACAAAATAATAGAACTCTTGGTCCTCATCATTCCTTATCATCTCAGATCTTTACCACTTACATTCAATGTTACAAAGAAGTAAACATCTATCTTTTTTAAACCTCTGTTATCTTTGAATGTTTCACAGCAGTTTAACCAGTATTCTAACTAAAACTGCATCTCAAATTAGTACATCCATCTATCTGGCAAATTGGTTTTCCCATCACAGTCAACCCATCAGCACATCCTACCAGCAATTCTTAAAAGCTCAATGCAAATCCACCCACTTCACTCTACCTCCTGAAAACTACTCTAATTCAAGCCAACACCATCTCTTGCCTGGAGTACTGCAGTAGGCTCCCTGTCATCCCTTGCTTCCTACTTTTAGACTCTCTAGAAACCATGCTCCACTTAACCATACTACGGTCATTTTAACCCACGTATTAGGCAGGGTTCTCTAGAGGGACAGAATTAATAGGATAGATGTATATATAAAGGAGAGTTTATTAAGGAATATTAACTCACAGGATCACAAGGTGAGGTCCCACAATAGTCCATCTGCAAGCTGAGGAGCAAGGAAGCCAGTGTGAGTCCCAAACTGAAGAACTTGGAGTTTGATGTTCAAGGGCAGGAAGCATCCAGCACAGGAGAAAGATGTAGGCTCAGAGGTTAAGCCAGTCTAATCTCTCCACGTTCTTCGGCCTGCTTTTATTCTGCCTATGCTGGCAGCTGATTAGTTTGTGCCCACCCAGATTGAGGATGGTCTGTCTTTCCCAGTCCACTGACTGAAATGTTAACCTCCTTTGGCAACACCCTCACAGACACACCCAGGAACAATACTTTCCATCCTTCAATCTAATCAAGTTGACACTCATCATTAACCATCACAACATACAAAACAGATTATGCCATTCCTCAGTGGAAACCTTTCCTTTATACCTAAAGTAAAATCCAAATCCTTTCCCATGGTGCTATGGTTTGAATATTTGTCCCCTCCAAAATGTGTGTTGAAATTTAAGCCCCAATGTGGCAGTGTTGAGAGATGGAGTCTTGAAGAAATGATTGGGTCATGAGAGCTCTGCCCTCATGAAGAGATAAATCTATTCATGAATTAATAGGTTAATGGGGTTATCATAGGAGTGGGGCTGGGTGGCTTCATGACAAGAGGGAGAGAGGCCTGAGTTAGCATGCCCAGCACCCTCACCACATGATGCACTACACTGTCTCAGGATGGTGCAGAGGCCCCCACCGACAAGAAGGCCCTCCTATAGATGTACCCCTCAACCTATAAGGTATAGGCCCCTCAACCTATAAGGTATATGTAAAGAATAAATTCCTTTTCTTCATAAATCGCCCAAAGTCAGGTATTTTATTACAAGCAGCAGAAAACAGACTAAGACACATGGTACACAAGCCACTGTATGACTTAACCCTTGCCTTCCTCCTCAGCATCAATGCTTATACTTCTTCACTCATTATGCTCCAGCCACACTGGCCATCTTTGAATTCCTTGATAATCTAAAGATACTCCCACTTCAGTTAGCTTTCTGCATCTGCTCGTTCTCCTTCCTAGACTGTGCCTTCCTCTGGTCTTCATTGTCTCTCTTCTCATCATTCAGGTCTCACCTCCGATGTGACTTTGCATTGAAGCCTTCCCTGACCACATAATATAATTTTATTTCCTTCCTGTTTCCCCTCCTCTGTCACTCTCTATCACAACACCTGTATTGCTTTCTTCACAGCACAGCCCTTTTTGAAATGATCTTACACCATTTTTATTTGTTTGTTGTCTGACTTTCCCACTGAAATTAAGCTCTATGAGAGCAGGAACCTGTTCCTGCCCATCACTACCTTCTCAATGCCCAGCACAGTGCCTGGGACATAATAAACACTTTAAACTATGCATTGAGTGAATAAATGACATGGGAATGTGTGTGCTGACTGCTTTGTATAGTGTCTAGCATAGAACTGCAGTTAACTAAATCATAGGAAATACTGTTTTCATTGTTGATGCCTCTTCACTGTGTCCTCACATGGTGGAGAGAGGGAGCCTTGATGTCTATTTGTCTTCTTATAAAGGCAATAACCCCTTCATGTGAACTCTGCCCACAAGACCCCATCTAAAGGCCTCAATTCCTACTACCATCATATTGAAGGTTAAGTCTTCAACCTATGAATTTTGTGAGAGTAGGACAAACAAAACTCCACAAAAATAGCCTTTCCAAAAAGTGGAGAGAGAAACAAGTATGCATGCAAATGTATAACCCCATTTAAAACAGGATAACTTTGCAAAATATAAAATGGAATAAGACATCTTACTTCATATCATTCACTCAAAATTATGTAAATAAATTCTGCTTAAGTAATACGGTATTCAGATTAATACCTGGAATAAATGAATCTTTCCTCAAAGATTCAAAAACAAGTATGAAGCAACTGCTGGTACCATAAAATTAATGAATAAAAATAGTACTCCTTAGATCATATTTTCATTGAATTATCATAAAATTAGAGTTAATATTTTTGTAAAGATTGATCACATTTTGTAAAGATGTCATAAATTAGTGTGAGGTTAAAATTGTATATTTTTAAAACTTTAAAAATCCTATTTTTTTTTTTTTTTTTTTTTTTTTGAGACGGAGTCTTGCTCTGCAGCCCAGGCTGGAGTGCAGTGGCGGGATCTCTGCTCACTGCAAGCTCCACCTCCCAGGTTCAAGCCATTGTCCTGCCTCAGCCTCCCGAGTAGCTGGGACTACAGGCGCCCGCCACCACACCCAGCTAATTTTTTTTATTTTTAGTAGAGACGGAGTTTCACCGTGTTAGCCAGGATGGTCTCAATCTCCTGACCTCTTGATCCGCCCACCTCGGCCTCCCAAAGTGCTGGGATTACAGGTGTGAGCCACTGCACCTGGCCTAAAAATCCTATTTTTTAAAACTTAACATTTTGTCAAAGGATCGGGATTACAATTAAATAGAACCTTAAAAGTTAAAACTTTCCAAACCTCTGGCATGTACTGTCAAAAATCCTCCAGGATACCCTGGAAGAAACAAATGCCTAAGTAGAGCGAAATGCACATTTTCTCACTGCCATATAAAATAGACAGATGCTTTCTTCTTGAGGAAAAGGGTTTTTTTTTGTTTTTTTGGTGGGAGGGGGAGGAATGTTTGCTCTCCTACCTAAATATCATTACTTGTGCAATAACAATTGTTTTCTGGTAGAATCTTTAATCTTTTTTGCCTCAAATAGTATATAAAATTATGCATCTGGGCCAGGCGTGGTGGCTTATACCTGTAATCCCAGCACGTTGGGAGGCTGAGGCTGGAGGGACGCTTGAGTCCAGGAGTTCCAGTCCAGCCTGGGCAAGATGGTGATATGGTTTGGATCTGTGTCCCAGCCAAATCTCATGTTGAAATGTAATCTGCAGTGTTGGAGATAGGGCCAGGTGGGAGGTGTTTGCATCATGGGGTATTTGCATCCCCTTGGTAATGAGAGAGTTCTCCCAAGATCTAATTGTTTTAAAGTGTGTAGCACCTCCCTTCCCCTCCACTCTCTCTCTTGTTCCCTCTCTCACCATGTGAGACACTGGCTTTCCCCTTTGCCTCCACCATAATGGGAAACTTCCTAAGGCCTCCCCAGAAGCTGAGCAGATGCTGGCACCAGACTTCTAAAAAGCCTGCAGAAACATGAGCCATGAGCCAGTTAAACATTTTTTCTTTACAAATTACCACTCTCAGGTTTTTTTTGGGGGGGTGGGGGTGGGAGTGGGGGTGTTGTTTGTTTGTTTGTTTTGAGATGGAGTCTCACTCTGTCACTCAGGCTGTAGTGCAGTGGTGCAATCTCGGCTCACTGCAACCTCCACCTCCCAGGTTCAATCAATTCTCCTGCCTCAGCCTCCAGAGTAGCTGAGATTACAGGCGTGTGCCACCACATCCAGTTAATTTTTGTATTTTTAGTAGAGACGGGGGTTCAGCATGTTGGCCAGGCTGGTCTTGAACTCCTGACCTCAGGTGATCCATCTGCCTGGCCCTCCCAGAGGGCTGGGATAACAGGCATAAGCCACCACGCCCAGCTAAGGTATTTCTTCATAGCAATGCAAAGGAAGGCCTAACACAGATGGCAAGACCCACTCGCTAAAAAAAAAAAAAAAAAATTAGCCAGGCATGCTAACACACACCTGTAGTCCCAGGGAGGCTGAGATGGGAGGACTCCTAGAGCCCAGGAGTTTGAGGCTGCACTGAGCTATGATTGCACCACTGTACTCCTGCCTGGGTGATGAAACAAGACCCCATCTCTAAAAAACAAATTTTAAACAAACAAATAAATGTTATGCTTCCGTAGAACACTATATTTACTAAAGTTCACTTCATTTTTAAAAGATTTACTGTTAAGAAGAATAAAATATTATATAATTTTCCACTACTACAAAATTTAAAGACGTTCATGAGAGAAAGAAAACATAGCCTGCAAAATTGTCTCTATTGTTTATCTTACATAACAATCATGGATTGTCCTACCTGTTGATATTTTTTCTTTTTCAGAGGCAGTGTCTCGATTTGGTTTCCAGGCTGGCCTTGAACTCCTGAACTCAAGTAATCCTTCTATCTCAGCCTCCCAAAGTGCTGGGATTACAGGCATTAGCCACTGTGTCTGGCCTGGCCAGTGATTTATTTTTTTAGGTATGAATATCTACATTGGCCATCCAATTGTTTCTATGTATAGTTACTTTATTTTCCTGTGCAATTTATAAACATGATTTGTAGTAAATGCCAAGGAGACATAGAGATGAAGAAACTTGCCCAAAGTTAAAACAGCTAAATGGTGAGAGCCGGGAATGAGTCTAAGCACAGCCTGCACGCTCAGCCATTCACTCGATCACCTCCCAGTAGTCATGGTTTCATCAGGAGAAAGAATAAAATATTAGGAAATGGAAAAAAAGGGAAATGGAATTACAGAAAATGTAAAGTAGATGAGGAAGATGAGGACTGTCATTGCCACAAAGATTTAACCCTCTAATGTTAAATTTGATGATGAAAGAAAAGCCGATGGAGTAACAAATACCATATTCTCTATCATAAAATGCAGCTATAATCAAGGAAGCTACTTAAAGGTCAAAACTTATGCCTTATAACAGCTATTTTTCTTAATACAATGTGAGAGATAAAAATAAATAAACCAGGGGTCTTGGCTTCAGGGAGCACGAAATCTAGCAAAGAAGGCAAAAAACAAGTAAATAAAAATGGAACTGTAATTTTAAAAATCAAGCAAGCAAGATAATAGGCAAGATAACTAGGTAAAAATGAGAGTATTCATTTGTGTAAACATATTACTTATTATGATGAGAAATATATTTGTATTATAAATTATATAAAATATAATTATAAATTAGTGATTTAATTGATAACATAATTATTAATTACACTACATATTAATATATACTGTACTAATATATTATTATATGATAAGAATAAAAGAATCCTTTCTATTCTACTAAAATGAAACAAATCATTTTCCTTAAGATATAAAAAATAATTTAAATACATTTAATGAAATTTTTAGCACATCATAAATAATGATTTAGTATTTAAACTTTACTGTTTCAGAATTCTATTGTATTAGACAAAGCCAAATAATTAGGCCAAAATTATTACATGGTTAGAGATTTATTTGTCATGCTATTTTGTAAATCCCCAAAAGCATTGCATTGTTTATATATTTACATATTTTTGTAGGATACTGAATATACTGTGTTCTCTATGTATAAACATATTCTGCCACTCATGCAAGAATACGAGATTCTCACACTGGTGAAAATATGTTTTGTGTTGTTGTTTTCTTTTATCTTCCCATTATAATGGGAATTATAGTAGTCCTTTGCAGAGCTGGAATAACACAATTTCCCACATTTTTGGTTTTCTTCAAAAGACAGATGCTATATAACTCAGTACAGATAAGACATTAGCATTAAATGAAACTGCTATATTTGTTCTCTTTGCTTTTTCTATTAATAATTGTGCCACTGCGTTTTTCCCTGACTAGAATTTGTAAGATTTAGTGGGAGTTTTTCTATGTCATATAAAATATAACCATAACCTTTAGAGTCTAATTTCTCCTTCAACTAATAGTCTTTAGAGTGGGTCGTTCAAGATTTTCCTCCTTAGCTCTTATACTCCTATTTAAATCATTATTTAATGTCCTTTAGAGTCCTTTATCTGATCGTCATTTTTCAAAAACCTTAAGTATGACAGCCTCCTGAAATACCCACTAAAAAGCCATATAGTTAATTTCTGCACAGGGACTGGACAGAAGATTATTCTACTATAAATTGTCAGTCTCATCTTACTAGGCTTGTAAAGAGCACACACAATGACAACATTCACTTACCAAGTCCACATTTATTGTAATTCCCTGCTTAACATTATTCAGAAAGCTGAGACTCTCCTGTCAAAAGACAGTAGTGTCAAATGAAGTCAGCACATTTGGGGAATTTAGCGCAAAGTCAGATCTGGTTTAATAGGCATCTCTTTGTACTTAGGAACATAATCCCAGATGTGTTAATCCGAAAAGCAGTAGAATGGGGGTTATGGAGATTCATCTATCTACCAGTGAACATGTGGTAGACACATGAATGTAATAAATCTTATGATTGTGCAATAAATTCATGCCTCAGAAAAATTATTTAAGGACAGCAATTTACTGAGCACTAGTCACGTAGCAAGCATTTATTAAGAACCTATTGCAGTCTTCATCCACAAATAAGGCGAAGGTAGTATTTGTAGCACATATTACTTGGAGGTCGATCTTCTTTTGTTCATACATAGGGCTCTTGTTCTGAGGAATAAAAAAGATCCATTTGGGTGTCCTCCTGCATTTAGTTTACGTGGAGAAACTTTGAGATGTTAAATTATTTAAGGTAATATTGGTAGAAAAGTGAAAGGAGAGAACTCAATAGTTTCACTCCTATCCTACCTTGAGCCAGACTCCATTTCAGAATTTTGTATGAATATCTACTGATTTAAGCAATTACATGATGTACATGAATCTGGAAAAGATGGTTCTCTAAAATTAAGACTGGTCAAGTTAAAGTTATTTAAGCAGACATGACTGATTTGTGTGTATTATAAGTTAGGAACATTTTGTTATTAGAAATGGGAAAGTTTAAAAAACAAACTCCATATAGGATTCTGTTTACAGTTTTTAAAAATCAGGATAAAGTTTAAACATATTCTTGCCATTAACACCCTACTTCAAAAATTAAACCTGTTTACATCTACCCCAAAAAGAAAAATAAGAAATTAGTCACAGTGTAGTTACTTGATACATAATAATTTTCCAGACCTCATGTCAATTTTGGAAAGAGGTGAGGAGAAAAACTTAAAATAAACTTTTTTGTTTGTTTCTTGGTTCTATTAGCCATCTGAAAACTAATACTAGAAAGTCCAATAAAGATATTCTGAAACAAATATAAAATTTTTTACTTTAAATTATTGAATAGCAGAAGTTAGTATGTTGGTAGAAATAGGAAAAATTATTTCATCCATAAAAACAATAAGAAAGCTGGCAAACATGATCAGAATCAATATTTTAAGAACTCTGAAAATTAACTAATGTTAAAATGTCTGTGGCATTTTAACTTATTGTATTGGTCCATTTTCACACTGATATAAAGAATTACCTGAGAGTGGGCAACTTATAAAGAAAATACTTTTAATTGACTCACATTTCTGCACGGCTGGAGAGGCCTCAGGGAACTTACAGTCGTGGTGGGAGGCAAAGGGAAAGCAAGGCATGTCTTACATGACAGCAGGAGAGAGAGCATGAGAAGGAAGCCACACACTTTCAAACCATAAGATGTTGTGAGAACTCACTCACTATCTTGAGAACAACATGAGGAAAACTGCCCCCATGATCCAATTACCTCCCACCAGATCCTTTCCTCAACACTTGGGGATTAAAATTCAAGATGAGATTTGGGTGGGGACCCAGAGCCAAACCACATCACCTACCTTAGTCCCATTCCCAGCTGTCTAGCTCCATCGTAACCTTGAAAACCAACAGCTCATATTATGTTGAAACTCTGGAAGCCACTAAAGGGAAAAAAAATGCGGTTGTACCTTCTTCAAAGCTTCAAAGCTTCAAATGCCAGCTCCCAGAGAACTGGAATTATTTGACCCGTTATGTGGTTTCCTGGAAGATTGGGCTTGTAATCTCCCTTCATTTGACCTGAATCAGCACTCATCCAGTTAAAAAAAAAAAAAAAAAAAAAAAAAAGCCTTTTCTCTGGAGGATTTTGTTAAAAACTAAATATAGGCAATTGTTTAACTTTTTGGCTACCTGACGAGGTGGTTCACAGCTGGAGTAAACAATAGACTAACTGAAAGCTTAAGAAGAAAAGTTACTGAATAAGATATATACTGGATCTTTGAAAAGTGTCAAAATATTATTGGGAATATAGAAAGTCATTGCATACATAAGATGGCGCACGTGTTCAAGAAAGATCTGAGAAGAGCCTACATGCTCTCTTACTTGTATCTGACCTTGAGGCTCTTCACTAGTAGGACAGGAAGGCTACAGTGGTGGTGTCAACTGCTGGCCAAGTGTTGAAGCCAGTCCCAATATGCACACAGTCTCTTAGCAAAGGCTGAGAGACCGATTGGTTCTGGATGTATAAGGAATGCTTTCTCTAATCATTAGTTGACAACTAAGTTAACTGACTGGAGACTGCAGTGGCCATACATGACAAAGAATACAGATTGTACACAATTATTTCAGAAAGCCACTAAAAACAAAAATGGTAACTACAACCAGCAGCAAAAATATCAAACACTGTGTGGGGAGAGGATCTGATTTAAAGAATTGCCCCATTGTATTATTTAAAATGTCCTCTTTTCAACATAACATTATAAGACATACAAAGAAACAAAAAAAATATGGCCTATACACAGAAAAGAAGACAATCAAAAGAAGCTGTCCCTGAGGAAGCCCAATCCTTAGAATTTACTGATGAAGTTTAAGTCAGCTATTTTAAATATGTTCAAAAGACTAAATGAAACTATATCTAAAAATCAAAAATTAAGGATAATGAGGCCAGATGTGGTAGCCTAACATCTGTAATTTCAGCAATTTGGGAGGCTAAGCTGGGAGGATACCTGAGTCCAGGACTCTCAGTCAAGTCTGGGCAACATAGCAAGACTCATAGTAATAAACCTCGCTAAAATTAAAAAAAAAATGTTAACACAAAATTTTTTTTAAATTTATCTAGGTGTATTACTCCATTTTTTGTTGCTATAAAGAAATGCCTGAGGCTGGGTAATTATAAAGAAAAGAGGGGTTTATTTTAGCTCATGGTTCTGCAGACTATACAAGCATAGTACTGGCATTTACATCTGGTGAGGAAGTTTACAATCATGGTGGAAGGTGAAGGAGGAGCATCATTTCACATAGCAGGAGAGGGAGCTAGAGAGCTGCCAGGCTCTTTTAAACAACAAGCTCTTGTGTGAGTTAATAGAGTGAGAACTTACTAGGTAACATGGGGAGGGCACCAAACCACTCATGAGGGATCTGCCTCTATGACCAAAGCACCTCCCACCAGGGCCCACCTCCAACACTGGAGATCACATTTCAACATGAGATTTGGGACAAAAGATCCAAAAGATATGATTGCACCTCTAGCCCCCCAAATCTCATTGCAAAATACAATCTCATATTGCAAAATATGACTATTCTTTCCCAATAGTCCCCCCCAATATTAACTCCTTCCAGCATCAACTCAAAAGTCCAAAGTCCAAAGTCTCATCTGAGACCCAAGGCAAGTTCCTTCCACCAATGAGGCTGTAAGATGAAAAACAAGTTATTAACTTTCAAGATACTATGGTGGTACAGGAATTGGATAAACATTCCCTTTACAAAAGGGAAAAGTCAGCCAAAAGAAGGGACAGCAATCCTCATGCAAGTCTGAAACTCAGCAGAGCAGATATTAAATCTTAAAGCTCCAAAGTAATCTTTGGCTCTATGTCCCACACCCTGGGTGCATGGTGTGAGGGGTAGGTTCCAAAGACTTAGGAAGCTCTACACCTATGGCTTTCTGAGTGCAGCCCACATGGCTGCTGTCATGGATTTGACTCTGATATATGCAGCTTTTCCAGGCTGAGGGTGCACATTGCTGGTGGCTCTACCATTCTGGGGTCTGGAGGGTGGTGGCCCCATTCCCACAGTTCCATTAGGCAGTGCTCTGGTAGGGACTCTGGGTGTGAGCTCCCATCTTGGCTCCCCTCAGCACTGCCCTAGTAGAAGCTCCCTTTAGGGATTCTGCCTGGGCACCTAGGCCCTTTGATACATCTTCTGAAATCTATGTGGAAGCTGCCATGCCTCCTTCACTCTCGTGTTCTGTGTGCCTGCAGGCTTACCACCACTGGGAAGCCACCAAGCTATGGCTTGCATTCCTCAAAGCGGCAGCCCAAGCTATACCCGGAGCCATCTGAGCCATGACTGGAGCAAGAGCAATTGGGATGGGGAAGCAGTCTCCTAAGGTGGGTACAGCAGAGTCTAAAACCAGGACTTCTAAAAGCATTTGTTCCTCCTAGAACTTTGAGCCTGTGATGGGAGGGGTTTCCTCAAAGATTTCTAAAATGTCTTTGAGGCTAATATGGTTTGGCTGTGTACCCCCACAAATCTAATCTTGAATTCACATGTATTATGGGAGGGATCCAGTGGGAGGTAACTGAATCATGGGGACTGGCCTTTCCTGTGCTGTTCTCATGATAATGAGTAACTCTCACATGATCTGATGGTTATTATGTGGTGGAGTTTCCTGCACAAGTTCTCCCTTTGCCTGCTGCCATCCATGTAAGACACGACTTGCTCTTCCTTGCCTTCCACCATGATTGTGAGGCTCCCCAGCCATGTGGAACTGTAGGTCCAATTAAACCTCTTTCTTTTGTAAATTGCCCAGTCTTGGGTATATGTTTATCAGCTATGTGAAAATGGACTAATACAGAGGCCTTTTTCCCATTGTCTTGTCTGTTAAAACTTCACTCCTTTTTATTTATGCTATTCTTCTCCTGAAAATGCTCTTTCCTTCTCTACCACATGGTCAGACTGTGAATTTTCCAAGCGATTATGCTCTGCTTCCTTTTAATTATTAGTTTCAACTTTAAGCCACTTCTTTGCTCTCATACCTAATTGTAGGCTGTTAGAAGTAGCCCTGTCATTTCTTAAATGTTTTGCTGTATAGAAATTTTTTTCACCACATATCCTACATCATCACTTTTAAGTTCAACCTTTCACAAAGCCCTAGGTCATGGACACACTGCAGCCAAATTCTTTACTAAAGCAGAACAAGTGTGAACTTTGCTCCAATTCCCAATAACTTCCTCATTTCCATCTGAGACCTCATTAGCCTGGCTTTCATTGTCCATATCTCTATCAGCATTTTTGTCACAACTATTTAACCAGTCTCTATGAAGTTCCAACTTTTCCTCATCTTCTTTTTTCTGAGCCTGCCAAACTCTTCCAACCTCTTCTTGTTACCAAGTTCCGAAGCTGTTTCCACATTTTCAAGTATCTTTATAGCAATGTGCCACTCTCTGTGCCAATTTTCTGTGTTAGTCTGTTTTGTATTGCTATAAAGGAATACCTGGGGCTGGGTATTTTATAAAGAAAAGAGGTTTACATTGACTCATGGTTCTAAAGACTGTACAAGAAATATAGTGCCAGCATATGCTTTTGGTGAGGCCTCAAGAAGCTTAGAAACATGGTGGAAGATGAAGATGGAGTAGGCATGTGACAGCCTGAGAGAGATACAGCAAGAGAGATGCCAGGCTTCTTAAACAATCAGCTTTCATGTGAACTAATAGAGTGAGAACTTATAGAAAAGATCAGCAAGGAGACAGAAGTTATTAAAGAGAACCAAGAAAAATTCTGGAACTTAAAAGAATAATAACTTAAATTAAAAAGTTAAAGGAAAGGTTTAACAGCAAATTTGAGTAGAAAGATAAGATCAATCAAGATTATCCAATCCGTGGATCAAAAAAATATATATATATAAATGGAAGAACAGAACTTCAAAGACTTGTAGGACATCATCAAATATACTGATATATAAACTATAGAAGTCCCAGGAGGAAAGGAGAGAAAAAGTCAGGAAGAATTTTAGAAGAAATAATGATGGAAAACTTGCTTTTTATTTTTTAAAAATAACATATACATTTAAGAATCTCAAAGAACTCCAAGTAGAATAAACTCAAAGAGATCCACAATTAAACACATCATAACCAAACTATCAAGAGCCAAAAACAGAGAGATAGTCTTGAAAGGAGCAATAGAGAAGTGATTAATCATGTACAGAAGATCTGTAATAAGATTAATAGCTAATTTCTCATCAGAAAGGATGGAAGCCAGTAAGTAGTGAGAGGATAGGAAAAAGTGCTGATAGGAAAAAAAAAAAAAAAAAAAAAAAGTCAACCAAGAATTCTATATCCAGCAAAAGTATTCTTGAAAAATAAGGAGAAATTTTTAAGTTCCCACATAAACAAAAACTGAGGGTATTCAACACTATAAGTAGATGTGTCCTACAAAAACATACCAGAAGAGTCCTCCAAGTTAAAATGAAAGGTCAAAAATATGAATTTGAAACTACATCAATAAATAAAGAACAATGTCAAAAATATATAAGAAAATAAATAAGAAAATATGAATGTACTACTTGTTGATAATAATATTTCTCTCCTATATGAACCACATAAAGCAATAATTAAAACTCTAAGTTAGTGGGCACACATTGTGTAATATGACAACAGCTCAAAAAGTGGAAAGGAAACAAACTATACAGGAGCAAAGATTTTGTATACCACGAAATTAAGTTTATATTAATTCTAACTAGATTGTTATAAATAGGATGTTTATTGTGATCCCCGTGGTAATTGCTACGAAATTAAGTTTTAAAATATAGTCAAAGAAATGAGTTAAAATGGTATGTTAGACAATGTCTATTTAATACAGACAAAGGCAGTTTTGAAGAAATAAAGGAACAAAAAAGACAAAAGGCCTGCGAATGTAAATAGAAAGTTAGGAAGAATTATGCCCTTTTGAATGAGATTTTAAACTACTTGGAATTAGTAAAGCAGAAGGGTACACAAAGGTTACAGGAGTAAGGCCTTTTGGCTTTTTCTAAATTATCTCATTTTTTTTTCTTGACCTGCATTGTCTTTTTAAATCTAGAAATCTCTTAAAAGTAAATACATCATCTTCCAATATTCTGAATATGATGAAAGACAGGTGGAAAAATGGCTTTCAAACCCCTTTGTGTAAGGGAGTATAATTATGCACCGTCTATACAAACCCTTCCCTAATGACCACATTAGAGCATCCTACCTAATGTTTATGCCAGATTGACTGCTAATCAGGAAACAGAGGGCAAGGAGAGAGAAGGAGGAAGAAAGAAAGAAAATGATTTATAATCAAAGACAAGGAAAGCATGTATTTCCTAGCCTGGCTTCCATTGCCTTTTACAATAAAATCACAGAATATATTTCCAATGTTTTTCCTTATTTCTTTCTTTCTTGAATTCTTCATTCTAGTTGAACAAGTCTTCTATGTACACACTGCTGTTTCTTACATTGCCTTCTCAGTTTTAACATTTTCTTTCCTGGATTGTTATTCTGTTATTCTCTCAAATATAAAAAGTGGCCTTCTTCAAGATGCACTTTAGATCCCACCTCCATTAAACCTTTCCAGATGGTCTTTCCAAATGATCTCTACATTTGAAGTTCAATTCATTTCAGTTCAATTATCATGCATTACTTTTTTCTTTAATCCTGGTCTTTATTCAGGTCAAGTTCAGATTCCTACAACAGTGGCTCAAACTCCAAAAAGCTTATCTCCAAAGATAAACAAAATCTGATAACAGGCAATGCAAAGATGATCTAGAGCAGAGGTCAGAAAACTCTAGTAAAAGTCTTTTTTATTGAAATATAGTAATTTCCATTAGTTTACATATTGCCATGTCTGTTTTTATATGGCAAAAGCAGATCTGAGTGGTTGCAATCCTTAGGAAAAGTTTGCTCACCCTTCCTGTAGATACTCCAAAGTCATGAAAGGCACAAGTGTTCTCAAATTTCTATTCCAACATCCTCACTACCAAACTTTTATCTTCATGGCATTGCACGTTCCCAAAGGCTGCTTGAGTTCCTATAAGCTATCTCCATTTACAAACTGACCAGAAGTCCCAGATAACACATTTATTAATATACCTTTTACTAGAACTTATTCTCATGACCACTCCTAGCTGCAAAGGAGCCTGGGAAACAAATCTTTTAGCTGAACATATTGCTACACTTGATAATATAGGGTTCTGTCAGGGAAGAGAAAGGAAAGATGGATAGTGTAAACAATTAGCAATCTCTATTACAATTAGAAATTGTTTTATTTCAAGAAATAAACTAGATTAAGTTAGTATTTATTCAAATAATTCAAAGGAATTGCACATCATTCAAAGACAAACATGTTGGTCTGGTCTTACAAAGGACAAGAACCAGAAATCAGAAGGATAGCAACCGCTTCTACTTTTCCTCATCTTTCCAGGACCATGTGGTCATCTCTGCTCTCTTTGCAAGGCTCTTTAATTCTTCTCTCTCAGAATGCCAGATTTCTCTGCAGAAGCAAATTAAATGTCTATGATTTTATTTGAATATTTTTCAAACTCTTACTCTTTAGTTCTGATTTTACATTCTTTTTGTGATCTAGGCCACAAATATCCTGACTAGATTCTTGGAGTTTCAAAAATAAATTTAGAAGAGAGAGAATCTCATTGACATAGCTTGTGTCATTTTTTGCTACCAGCTATTGGATTAGTTGTGGCCTGGAAGATAGTTTCGTGTGGAGCAGCAGACTTTCCAGGCAGAGAAATAAAAATGATAGGCATGTGCTGATCAACTTCTACAAGCTGGTATCTTTAATAGTCACGTACTAAAACTAAATATCATATATCATTGATTATTGTTTAAGCTTTATAAGTGGACATTTATGATACCTGTTAAGGATTCTGTTTCTTAATCAAAGGATCACCCTTATGGAATAGATTTAAAAAAAAAAAAAAAAGAATATGTGCCCTCTGCTTGTTTCTCCAACATAAATAAGCCAGTCCCAAAATATATTGTATGGAATGTTTGTTTTCAGATTTCCAGAAATATTGGGATCTTATGAAGGCAAAAACAAAAGAAAATTAGTGGCCAACATAGGACCACAGGCACAATCACCAATGTCTAAAGAAGCAATCTTTAGGCAAGGGTATCACATATAAGAACTGGATAAAGTTTGTTTCCCCAGCTGTATGATAACTTGTCTAATGACAAGAAATATACCTTATGTTTACTTGTATTGGTTACATTTTTCATTTAGAAAAGTAAGAAGTAGTGTTTATCAGGTACACAAAAATCAGAATTAAAAACTGAGGGACACTGTTGACATTCTCTGTACTCAGAAATACAGTACCCACAAGACATTATATTTTCACATGTTCCCTTTCTATTCAAAATCCCCAAACCACTTTTTTAAAAAAGAAAAAAAAAACACATTGTTATTCTGGTATCTCAAATAAAATGTAATCATGTCTCTTGTTTAAACAAAACAAAGAGTACTTCAAATGCCATTTTATTCTTCATGTCATGTATATTCCTAGCATGCTTTCCTTTATATACCAAAAAGCATTCCAATGATTTCTGTGATGGGACCAGAGCATGGTGGGTAGAGTGGGTGAGAGACATAATAGCCTAGTTGAAATAAACTCCATTTATTTATTATTTTATAATTCTCTTATAGAAAATAGTAAAGGTAAAACAATTAAAAGCTCTTATAGAATTTGAGCAGATATTTGGTACTTCTTTCACTTTTTAAAGACAGAGAAGTTATAAGGCTATAATGAATTTGCAGTAAGTTGTTTTTTAAGTTTTTTGGTTTGGCTTTGCTTTGGTTATTTGTTTGTTTTTAACCTCAAAAATGTCTGTAGAATAGAACACTGTAGAAATGAATTCAAGGGCTAGGCACAGTGGCTTATGTCCATAATCCCAGCACTTTGGAAGGCCGAGGCAGGTGAATCACAGGAGGTCAGCAGTTCGAGACCAGCCTGGCCAACATGGTGAAACCTCATCTCTACTAAAAAAAAAAAAAAAAATTAGCCGGGCATGGTGGCACACACCTGTAGTCCCAGCTACTCAGGAGGCTGAGGAATGAGAATCCCTTGAACCTGAGAGGTGGAGGTTGCAGTGAGCTGAGATCACACACTGCACTCCAGCCTGGGCAACACAACAAAACTCTGTCTCAAGAAAAAAAAAATGAATTTAAGTTTCAATGTTGGTTACCTGTGGTAACAACCATCTGAGTCCAAAGCAGAGACTTCTGAACATTTTAATTTCAAAATTGTAGCAATATCTCACAAATCAGTTACATGTGTTTGATTTTTAGTTCAGATTGTTCTTATTGTTTGTGGAAAAAAGTAGGATATCTCCTTTAGCTTTAATAGTCTCTATTAGGTTATTAGGAAAGGCAACAATATATAATTAAAACTGCATATATAAACATACATTATGTGTTATTATTTTCCACATTGCCTTTATATTATTTTCTTGGTGAAAATAGCCAACATAAATAGACATGACATATACAAAACCAAAAATTGCTCTTCATTCTGCATCATGATCTTGCTTCACTCCTATGACCAGTCACAATGTCCTTGGCTTGATGAAGCCATTTAACTTGCTTTGATCCTTACAATGCACAAGAAACACTTTCATCATTGACATTGATTTGTTATGCATTTGACTTTCTGATGAAATAGAAGGATCACCCCTCCTTGTCCTATTACTATGATGGCATGGCATTACATATTATATGTTTGTTTTCTAGAAAAATATAAATGACACTAGAGAAAGCAATTTTTTCTAAAACCATAGTATAAACTCCTGTATTTTCAAAGAACTGATGTAATCAAGTTGATAAACCATGAACCAGGCTTATTTAAATGAGTTGTCTTTTGGCATTTGAAGAGAATTATTTTCTGTTATGAAAATCAAACAAGCTGTTAGTGAATCACAGAAGACAAATACAGAAAATTGCCTTGTAACATCACATTTCAGGAGGATCCATTGCCCATAGCAATGATGAAGGAACAACTGCAATATCAGAAAGAAAATTGTCTTAGTAACAGGAAAAACAGAATATCCTCTTCTGATATTGAGCAAAACAAATGAAATATTAATCATGTGAATAACATAAATATTTGAATAACTTAAATATATATAGTGTTGCCAAAACTACTAAAACTATGTTTCCAGAAGAAATGGTAGATTAGATACTGTGATTGTCCATCTCATTGCAAACAACTAAAAATGCTGAACAAAGCTGGGCATGGTGGCTCACATCTGTAATCCCAGCACTTTGGGAGGCTGAAGTGGGAGGATTGCTTGAGGCCAGGAGTTCAAGACCAGCCCGGCCAACATGGTGAAACCCCATCTCTACTAAAACTATAAAAATTAGCCGGGTGTGGGGGTGGGTACCTGTAATCCCAGCTATTCAGATGGCTGACGCAGGAGAATCACTTGAACCCAGGAGGCGAGGCAGCAGTGAGCTGAGATTGCACCACTGCATACCAGCCTGGTTGACAGAATGAGGCTCCGTCTCAAAAAATGAATTTAAAAAAAGGTGAATAAAAAAAAATTTTCTAATCTTTTAAAACACATTAATAAACTGACAAAAGCATTGAAAGAGAGTAAGAGGCTGAAAAGAAGTAGAAGTCATATTTTGGAAAATACTTTTAGAGCATGAAAGCTTATTTACATATTGAGAGGGACTTTACTAATCAACAAAACAAATCAGCTATGGTTTTCATAGGCTTTAAGGAAACTGATGCCTGGAGAAAAGCCCACTGACATCCAAGGTAGACAGACAAGCAGGAAGCTGCAGAGATATTTCTGGGAACCCACAATTTTACACCCTCAGTGTAAAGGTGAATTACATATAATCCTAGACCCCCAACTATCCACATGTAAGGTTTTAGAAAAATTCCCCAGTAAGACTTTAAAGCTGAGCTTGAGGTGATCTGTCCTGGAAATTTGTAGCCATAGGTATGAGTTCCCTCAGTTTGCCACCAGTATTGTTAGAAAAGAACTTAGAGTTAATAATTTTATTGAAAGTGGTCATGAATTGAAAGTACCTTAGGCGCCTACCAGGAATAATTGTAAATCATTACTGGAGAAAAAACTTTCATGTAAGTTATCAATATTTAACAGAAAAAAAATTCAAGTAATTGCAGCACTTAATTGAAAATCAAAACACACAAGGAAACGACACCATGAGAGACAAAGATGTCAGGCCCGCAAAAGACTCGAAGTGTTGGAATCATCAGACTTAAAATACAACGTAATTGTGTTTTATACTTTTAAAGATATAGTAGAATAGAAATGGAATGAAGAGCAAGAATTTTTCTAACTTCCAAGTATATTTAAAATATAAATAAAGTTCTAGAAATAAAATAAAATAAAATAGACAGCAACAAACTCAACAAATGAATTTAAAAGCATATTAAAGCAGTTGAAGCCAGCAATAGCAAATAGTAATATTTCCTTAAAAAAAAGGAATCCAGAGAGCAGCACATAAATATGGAGATACAGAATATTAAAAAAGAGAGTTTGGAAGATTGAAACAAGTGACAAGGTACAACTTACATCTCCTATTCGAGTTGCAGATAAAAAGAATAGAGCAGAAACATTTTTAGGACTAAAGACTGAGAAATTTCCCCCCAGAATGAAAATCACCAGTACACAAATTCAGGAAGGCCAATGCATTCCCAATGGAATAAATAAAAAGAAACCCACATCCAGTCACACAATAGTGAAAGTGGAAAGCACAAAGACAAAGAGAAGATCTTAAAACAGCTAAACAGAAAACACAGAATGTCTTCATTGCAGGATAAGTAGACTAACAGCTAACTTATCAACAACAACAGGAAAAATACAGTGAAATGCTATTATTATCAATCCACTGGAAAAAGAGTAATCGTCAACCTCAACTTTGTTATCTTGCAAAAAATAAAATAAAATAAAAATTAAAAACCAAACAAACAAAAACCCCTGTACTTCAGGCAAAAGGGAAATGATTCAACATTAAATGTTGGAGTCATAACAGCAAATGAAAAAACATGGCACATATGTATAAAATCAAACAAAAATTCACTGTATACAATGTTAATAATTATATCTTGATGATTTCAAAGAAATACAAAAGATAAAAGACAAAAATCATAATATACCAATTGATAGGGGTTCATGGCAAACAAGTTTTTTAATTCTTGTATCATTTTTAAGGATGATGAAATTTATTAACTCCAGATTTTGAGGAATTAAATAAATCAGTAATGGCAACAGTAAAATAATGTCAATTCTCTTACAGTTCTATAAGGTTTAAATCAGACAACATCCCAGCATGCTAGAATAATTTGAAGACACTCGCTAAAATAATTATCAAAAGGAGATAAGTGTAATATAAGAAAATCTAAAGAGAGTACAATATTTTGGTCTGTTATGACCACTAGGCCTAAGAGGATAAGGTGAGGGAGTGATTACAAGAATCTTTAAGGAGAAAAGCCTGTGGAAATGGCTGCCTTGAGAAGGTTTGTAAAAGTGGGATAAGGCAACAAAGTCAACCTGATATAACCACACAAAGTAAAAAAATACCCTAAACCCCTCTCCTTTCTGCCATCATTGTCCTTCCCATATTCATTATTAGGCAGCCCTACCAGGTGACTGATGGCAAAGGTGTACATTGATGAAGTCCATACAAGTCAGTCTCTTGGGACAGAAACTCTGATGGAGAATGTAAGACAAGGGATGTGGAAAACAAATAGATTTCCAGGGCACATATTTGAATGAGCTTCACTGAACCATTTTCTGAGGTGGCAGACTCTTGCAAGCACAGGCGGTTAAAATATAGTTGGACGCACAACATGAAATTCTAAGCAGCATTTAGAAGGCAGACTAGATGTACGGTGAGCAAAACGGCAAATGTTACAGTAACAGTCCTGAGTGAAAAAAACATGTAAGGAAGATGGAGCTATGTGGCACAATAACATTTACCTATATTAAAAATGCATGCATTCAGAAGAGAAATTCACATTTAGCAGGACCATATAAAACCAAAAAGACTCATAGGGATTTGGTGTACTACAAAGGGAAAACAAGAAGAAGGGATTGAATAAATATGTAAATATCTGCATAACACAAGAGAAGTTCTTGCATACAACTGTTGGTGTTAATAATATGCCATGAGTTAAGGATTATGATTAATTCAGTGAGAAAATGCAATTAAGAAATCCAAAAGAGGTCAAGAAACGCTAGAAAAAGGAATATTGCTGTGAAATAAATTTTTGATTGCAGCAAATGTAAATCGATTAAATGTTCTAGTTAAGGATTGTCATAACATACAGGATTATTTTTAAAACCAATCTTCCAGGGAAAATATGTATATATGTGCCAAGTAGATTTTTAAGGCACAAATACCATTAACAATAAAAGTGTGATACTAAATAATGATAAAAGCCTTTAAAGATTTAATTCTCCAGGAAAATATAATAATTCTAGTACAGTGTAGACTGAATAACATGGTTTCTGAATTGACAAAGTTCGATAGGACAAATAATGGAAATTGACAAATCAATAGTCATACTGATAGATTTGGACACATATTGATTAAGCAGACATAATTAAATCTGTAATAAGACATAAATACAAAAATCAATAGATAGTCTAACACACGTATACATCAATGCACCCCAGAATTGTAGAACACACAGTCTTTTCAAGCTTATATAAAGGATTTCCCATTCTGATAATGATGTGCTGCTGCCTTGTTGTAGATCAACTCTGACAAAATATAAAAACCATCTTCTTGAAGACATTCAAGACATACTAATGCAGTGAAGATTTAATGAAAAAAAATCTGTGTGAAAGCGAAAAAAGAACCCTTTTCAGCCTCATTTATCCCTACTTTTTCCCTCAAGATGTTTGCTGATTCCTCAAAGGAAGTCAAAATCCTTGATTTTGAAGCAAAACCTTCAGTAATCTCAAGAGGCTATGTAGGCAAAAATTAGAGTTCTGAGCCTTGCACGGAGGAAGAAATCCTAGTAAGCACCTAATGTATTCAGCTGGAACTCCTGAAAGGCTACGTGCTAGCCATGGATTAAATGGAATTAGACCAACTATTATAAAACCGAAGTCCAGTCCCCAATTACTTCCTTTCTACAGGGAAATACTACATCCAGAGACTCAAATTGTTTCCACAGTTTTTCATACACAATGTTCATCCTAACTAAGAATTACCCAAAACACCAAACACAAGGCCAAATGGCCAAACATTAAATGAAAAACAAAGTAGCAAAACGTTTGCAGTTTACCGAGATATTAGAGTTATCAAAAACAAACAATATACATATATGTTAATTCATCAAACAAATTAGATGTAATGAAGGGAAATGTCATTTGATAACTAGAAGCTATAAAAAAGAATCAAATATGTATTCTATAACAAAAATATACAAACTTGAAATAAAGCTTAATGGATGTAGTTAACAGATTAGAAACAACTGAAAAGAGAACCAATAAGCTGAAAGATAGGTAATAAGACATTATACAGAATGAATCTTGAAGAGATGGAAGAATGAATATATAAAAAGAAATATAGAAGTCATAAAGGACCCAGTCCTGTGATGTAATTGGAATTCAAGAAGAAGAAGAAAGAATAAAACAGAAACAAAATCTGAAGAGATAATGGCCTAGAATGCTAAAATTCATTAAGGCATAAATTTAAGAAATCCTATAAACCACTATAAGAAACAACAAAAAAACCCATATTTATGTACATTGATATGGTTTGCCTGCGTCCCCACCCAAATCTAATCTTGAATTGTAGTTCCCATAATCCCCATGTGTCATGGGAGGAACCTGGTGGGAGGTAATTGAATCACAGGAGTGGTTACTTCCATGCTGTTCTCATGACAGTGTGAGTTCTCACAAGATCTGATGGTTTTATAAGAGGTTTTCCCATCCCCCTTTGCTCTGCACTTCTCCTTGCTACTGCCATGTGGAGAAGGATGTGTTTGCTTCTCTTTCTGCCATGATTGTAAGTTTCCTGAGACCTCCCCAGCCATGCTGAACTGTGAGTCAATTAACCCTCTTTCCTTTGTAAATTATCCAGACTCAGGTATGTTTTATTAGCAGCATGAGAATAGACTAATACATACATCATAGTACAACTATTTGAAGCAAAACATAGAAATAAAAGCAGTCAAGAATAAAAAGAAATATTTCCCTCAGATTTAATAAGATTGAAAATTGATTTCTCAACAAGAAAAAAAAGGAAGTCAGAAGTCAATATAATGATACTTTCAACTCCCTAGTAAAATATAAATGCCAACCTAGTGAAAATACTCAGTAAAATGAAGACAAAATAAGGACATTTAAAAACAAACAAAAACTGAGGAACGTATTTAATTAATATACCCAAACTAAAGAAATCACTAAAAGGGCATTTCTAGGCAAAACGAAAATGATCCATGAGAAGCACAGAGATGCATGAAGGAATGAAGAGTACAGAAAAGGTAAATATGTCAGTAAATCTCAATAAGATCAATAATAATATAATATTTTAGGAAAACATTTATGATCAATATACATAAGAAACCATACTTTAAAACAACAAGCATTTCCAGCAATAAGGAGGGCATTTATATATATTAAATATAATTAAAATTGTATTATATATATAAAATTAATCAAGGTGTGGATTCAGGAAGCTTGAACATATATATCATATTTAATAGCACCAAAAATGTGATGTTTCCAAAATAAAGCTAATGAAAGGTGTATATTGACTTATAGAAAAACTTAATTGCTAAAAAGTCATTCAAGAATTAAATAACCTGAAAAATGTACCATATTCAAGAATTGAATGACTTGATATCATAAATACTCTTCCCCATATTAATCTATATAATCAAAGAGCTTTCCAATCAAGACGTATCAAACCAAAGTAACAATTTTAGGTCTGTGGAAGGGATGTAAAAGCTGAGTCTCCAGTGCATATTGAAGAACAAAAATCTATGAAAAGCCAATACAACCAGAAGAAGTAGAGCAAGGTGAGAAAATCTGACTCACGAGATAACAAAACTGATTATACCTTTAAATGATGGTATATTTATATTGACACAAAGATGGACATATTGACCGTGGGATAGATATCCCAGAAATAAGCCTACACATTTGTGACAGAGTAAATATTAAAGATATCTGAGGTGGGGAAAAACAAATAATTTGATAAATGATATCTGGACATGTGGGTACACGTATGGGGAACAAACATAAAATTGGACCTCCACCTCACACCATCCACAAATATTGTTTCTGGATAAACTAAAGCAAATGTAAAAGGCAAAATTCTGAAAGTCAGTAAGGTATATTAATCAACAGAAGAAAACTAAGATTTCTTAAATATAAAAGGAAGATTTCTTAGAGAAAGAAAGCTGAAAGGGAAATATTGACAAATTTGACAACTTAAGAATGTATCTCATCAGAAGACACCATATGATGAAAAGATGAGTCATAAACTGGGAGAAGCTCTTTGCAACACATTAGTATCTAGAATATATAAAGAACACCTACACATGAATAAGAGAATATAATAATGTATTTAAAAGCCGTAATTAAATAGCACTTAACACCCAGTACCTCAAGTGTTAGAAAGAATGAAGAACAACTGAAATCATTTATTTAGTGTTGGTGGGAGAATATACTATTGAACAACAAAAAAAGAAAATTGCAAAGAAATACAATAATTACATTTATATAAAGTTAAAAAGAAAAAGAAAATGGAGCCACACATTATTTAGGGAATAAAACTATGTTGTAAAACCATAAAGGAAACAAGGCATAAAGTAATAAAAAAAGTATAATTCAAGTAGTGATTATCTCTGATGGACATGCTGGGAAACTGAGAGAGAGTGGTAATGTTCTTTTTCTTAAACTTGGCTTAATGTGTCCATTTTCTGTATATCTGACATCTCTTTTATAAATAACCCTTGGTGACTACTTAACAATGAATGAGGACAGTTTTCGAGAAGACTATAAATATCCTCTCATGCTAACTCTAAGTAGCTATAACAGTTTGCTGATAATGCCCCAGAAATGGAGCATTTCTGCAGCCTGGACAGAATATTTCATAACATTTGGAACTGAGCAACTTCTGGGAACCCCAGCCTTTTGTAACCTTATTTAACATCATATTGTGCAAGGTTATAATTGTTTGTCAAGTCCTTCAGATGGGTCTTGGAATACCCAATAATTAGGCATGAATTATCAGAGACTTTTATTTTTATGATAAAAATCCTCTCTGCATGAAGTAGATTCTAACAGTGCCCTCCACGGCACACACATATATGGGATATTAAAGCACTACCTTATCAAGACTGATGTGCAAATTGAATTATATGAGCTAAAAAGACTTCCTTTTAGCTGGTTTCTTAGCAATAGATATAACTTAATTTTTCAATTTTATGTTGTATTTAAACTCAGATGAAACAGATAAGTGATCTCTTCTGTATTAAAGTTTCTGCAGGAGAAGCTGGGAGAAGGCTTTTTGTGAAAGTCAGGCAGAGTGAGTTCTTGATAAAGTGGTATGACTTCACACCTCTCTTGTACCCCAAAATGTTCTTCACAGCCTGCTGCTACTGAAATTATCATGCCATATTTCATATCTCTAGTAAAGATGGCAATCATCCCTTAGAGTGAAAGAGTTTATAGCATCCTTTCCTGAAAGAATTTAGTCATAGGGTAAGTCAAGTGAGCAGAAGAGGACAGGCAGGGTGGCTCACACCTGTAATCCCAGAATTCTGGGAGGCCAAGGCAGGAGGATCTCTTGAGCTTAGGAGTTTGAGGACCAGCCTGGTCAACATACCAAGACCCTATCTCTACAAAAACATTTTTTTTTAAAAATTAGCTGAGGCATGGTAGTGTGCACCTATGATGTCAGCTACTAGGGAGGCTGAGGTGGGAGGATTGCTTGGGCCCAGGAGGTTCACGGTACAGTGAGCTGTGATTGTCACTGCACTCCAGACTGGGTGACAGAGGAAGGTCCTGTCTCAAAAATAAAGAAAGAAGTCAAAATTTAAAACTGAGCAGAAGAAAAAGGAAGAATTCTCTAGTCCAAAATCATCTGAATTCATGAAAAAGGGCAGCATGGAAGCTAGTTTGCCTGAGTAGTGAAGAAGCTGTAAGAGAGTGAAGAAAGAAGTGAGGAAAACTTTAATAACACTTGTGTATTAGGCCGTTCTCGTGTTCCCATAAAGAAATGCCTGAGGCTGGGTAATTTACAAGAAAAGAGGTGTAATTGGCTCATGGTTCTGCAGGCTGTACAGGGAGCCTGGCACCGCATTTGCTTGGCTTCTAGGGAGGCCTCAGGAAGCTTCCAATCATGGCAGAAGGTGATGGGGAGCAGGCATCTCACATCTCATAGCAAGGGCAAGAGAGAGCATGGGGGTGGGGCGGGGTGCCACATATGTCAAAAACCAGATCTTGCAAGAACTCATGGTCACAAGAATGGCACCAAGCCATGAGGGATTTGCCCTCATAACCCAAACACCTCCCATCAGGCCCCACCCTCCAACACTGGGGAATACATTTCAGGATGAGATTTGGGTGGAACAGATATCCAAACCATGTCAGCTTGGAAGACAAATTTCATCTCCATCACTATTTTACCACATTCCAATATATCACAAAGATCCTTATAAACTACACATTTCATGGAGGAAACAGCTACAAACCGGTGCTACAGTGAAGGGGGACAGGAAAACTACTTTCGTCTTCAACAAAAACTCGTGAAGTGACTGCCCACAGCCAGGACTTTGATTAAAAGATGAGGAAAATGAGTTATGCTTTCTTAAATATTGTGTATCTAATTGACCTCTGAATGAATGCTTTTTTTTTCTTTTATGTCAACATGTCTCCCTGAAAAGCCCAGTCTTTGATCAATTTGCCTTGTTAAAATATTCCTAGAAAACAAGAAAGAAAAATCAGTCAATCTGAATATGTAATTGCTTACTTTTGTTTCTTCTTTCTTAATAATTGATTATGTGAAAGATGAAAGAAACAATGTGAAACTGACTCTAAACTCTAATGCCTAACAAACAATCAGACACTATACAATGACACTGTTTTGGCAACCTGGCCACTGAACACATGATTGGCACTATGAAAGAACTAAATATTTTAATTTAATTTAATTTCACTTTGGAAATTAATACAGAACTTCATTATTAGAAAACATTTAAGTATGTTTGGAATAACGTAATTGTGTGAATATACAACTTTTAAGTTTTATAAAATATAAATACAGATTAAGTATTTCTGATGAAAATTTTGAATCCAAATTGAGATGTACTTTATTATAAACTGGGTATCCAAGTCTTGGTACAAAAAAGCAGACGTGCACTATCTCATGAGTCATTTTTAAGTTGATCACATGTTGAAATGACAATATTTTTAATAGATTAAGTAAAATAACTTATTAAAATTCATTGCATTTTTTTTACTTTTTGTATTGTGACCACAAGAAAAGTTTAAGTGACATTTGTGGCTGGCATTATATTTCTGTTGGACAGTGCTGTCATAGAGAGCAAATTTGGAATTGAGTCATATTTAAGCCTGAGCCTCTTCTGTGTAACCTGTGTGATCATGAACAATTCACTTAACTTCTCTGATCTTTTATGTAAATTGAGGTAATAGTATTACCTTTACCAGATTGTTGTAAGGCTTCAATTAAAATACCTTCCTTTAGAAAGCTTCAAAGTACTAGGAAGGTGCCAGATATTTTTAAATGTTTTAGTTCTTAGTCCAGTGTACCTTTAAATGGTAAGCTGAATGAAGGCTTAGAAAGAACCATGCTTCTATTTAATCGCTGTGAATGACAAGATTGGTTTTAAATTGTAAAACTGTGTACCATGAAGCTTCCAGAATGGTAAGAAGCTATTTTATAGCAAGGTCCAAAATGCTGATTTCTCAGGTAGGAGAAGACTGGTCCTTTAATATTTTTGGTAACCCTAGTGGTTGCCCTTAACAATCTAAAGCCATGGACTGCAATCCATGTAAATTTACCTTATTAGTTGGCGAACTGGACAAAAAAATAAGCAAAGTAGGAGGCACTGAGATCTTGGGTTCACTGCCAAGGTGAATTAGCTCCTTTTTTCTTCTCAGATCAGGGAGATAAGAAAAACTATATGTGCAATAAATAAAATTAAATACTGACTTCATTCATTTCAACAGATTAACCTCACTAGAAGGGTGGGTTGATAAAATGTTTGTGTGGATTGGAAAAATCTGAGACAAATTTACAAGACTGTTTGAAATATTAAGGCAGAGCTGACTCTGAAAATAACTTCTGAGTAGCCTGCACTTTAACAGAAAACCTTGCTTTAAAAGCAATATGAAAATAGCTTCCTTGCTTCATTTTAATCTTTTAATTTATGTAATAGTTATATTGTCTCAGCTAATCAGTGATATGCCAATTAATTATTTAAGTGGCCCTTTTTGCATTGCCAAACCCTAATCAACAACAACTACAACAAAACCCGGTAGAAAGACTTTATTTAAGTAGCTTCATAACTGAATATATTCTACAGAAAATCCTGGAGCCTTGTGAGACGTGTACACTGTAAACCGAAATTATTTATTAGGGAAAAGGAACTTGCCCTTTTGAACTTACACCCTAACCTATTAGGTGAGCTCCTTCTTTCCAGGAGTTGTTAACTCTTTTCTTATCAATTGTAAGCTTCATAGCCAAAAATTATTCTAGGGTGATGACCTTGTCTATTTTAACATATTTTTGAGTGATTTCAAGGTACAAGTAGATTTGAACTACAAGTTCTCAGAAAATAACTCCCTTGCTTTTTTCATAGTACTGAAACATGATTCTTAAGGACTCACTTCTAGTTTCCTAGAACATCATAAACCCCTTGGGCAGCCAAAGGCTAATCCACTATAACTCTCTTCTCTGCCCTTTTTGCCATTCATTCCTGGGTGAATGGTGGAGGCATGTACTTTTTGCTTTATGTAGTTTCCTGTCTAGTGAGATTATTAATGTGAATTCTATGTTAAGCATAGTATAGAAATGCAGTGACTTTTGCATGCTAACACATTTTCAGAAGCAAGTAACAATGTAAGGAAAAGAAAAAACTCAAAATTAAAATGATAAATTAAAAGTTCACTTATAAAGTATCATTTAGATGCAAAAATACAAAACTTCTAGAGAGAGCTTTAAGCATTTTACCAATTTTTTTAAAGTTTTAACAACGACCCTAAAAGTTACCACTTGTTGGGCAGCATATCAAGATATAAATCATCTTTGATTCTCACAATAATCCTGTAATGTAAGTACTATGATTACATCAACTTTACAGCTCTTCTGAGACTTAAAGAGATAAAGCACATTTAAAAACTCAGGCTGGGCCCAGTGCAGTGCTTCATGCCTGTAATCCCAGCACTTTGGGAGGCCAAGGCAGGAAGATTGCTTGAGCCCAGGGGTTCAAGACCAGCCTGGGCAACCAAGTAAGACCCCATCTCTACAAAAAATATAAAAATTAGCTGGGCATAGTGGCACATGCCTGTAGTCCCAGCTACTCAGGAGGCTGAGTTGGGAGGATCATGTGAGCTGAGGAGGTCGAGGTTGCAGTGAGCCATAATTATGCCACTGCACTCCAGCCTGGGTGACAGATCAAGACCCTGACTCCAAAAACAAAAATGAAAACCTCAGGCTGGGTGTGGTGGTGCATGCCTATAATCCCAGCACTTTGGGAGCCCAAGGTGGGAGGATCACTTGGGCCCAGGAGTTTCCCAGACTGGGAAATACAGCAAGACCCTGTCTCTGCAAAAAATAAAAAACTACCTGAGAGCAGTAGTGCATGCCAGTAGTCCCAGCTAGTTGAGAGGCTGAGATGAGAGGATCACTTGAGCCCAGGAGTCTGAAGTTGCAGTAAGCTACTATCATCACACCACTGCACTCCTACCTGGGCGACAGAGTGAGACCCTGTCTCTAAAAAAATTAAATTAAATTAAAACTCACATGATTGGTCTATGAGAGCATCCATTTATCAATCACCCATGTACCCAGGATGACAAAAATTCCATCTTTACATGTGCTTCTTCAATGTTAGACTTGGGGAAGGGAACATAGTGATCCTGCATTGGTTTTTCAGGCTTCCATCTTCAAATGATTTGCATAATTGTACAAACATTTTATTGATCAAAGCAAATTACATGGGCACATCCAACTTCAAAAGAAGAGATAAAATGCAATCATTCTTTGTGCCCAGAATGAGAACTGGAACCGATGTGAGTAGCACTAATGACCCCCACACATATCAAAGATATCCTGCTTGCGTGATTTTGTTCTGGTCTGGAGTTACATAAACACAATTAGTGGTAAACACTTTACATTTAAGTTTCCTTGTAACCGTATTCCAGTTCCTATAATTTACTTAGAGTCACATTCTGTACTTTCATTGCAGGGATAAACTGCCCTAAGAAAATATAGTCTATTAACTCAGAGTCTAATAACAAACACTTATCTTGAAAATCCCTTTTTACTTTTCTCACTTGCTAATTGAACCAGTGACTTGGAGATGCTTGTAATGATTCATGTTATCTTACTTTTATTTCTAAATGTTCATTCCAAATAGATTATCCTTTATCATAAATGTTCTTCCTAAAGTGCCAGCTTCAGGTTAGCTATTTCATGCTTCACCTAAATCATAAATTTAATAAAAAAGGAAGAATTTCAGTTCCTCTCCTCAGTTTCTTTACTCCCTACTTCCACATACTAGCAGTAAATTCTTTATTTTCTCTTCTTTGGAGTTATATGGCATCTTTCTTGAAATTACTGTATAAGGGGCATAGAAATTCCTGAGTTATACTTAGGGGTGTTCCTGACACGACAGTGACATGTAAATTAACATTAGTAGCTTCAGCTTCAGAAAATAGATGTTTCTATTTTCCAGTAAATTTATTCACTTAATATTTTCCTGCTCTATAACATCAAAATACTTCCTATCCCACAATGTTTCTATGGCATTGTAGAATCCCTGTCTCCACCTTCTTCCCATGATCAAACTGTAAAATATTTTAGGTGCCCTCTGTGATATTTTATGTTATTGAAACTAAGAGAATATGAACTAAACACTTATGCAATGACTACAATGACTATAGAATAAGTAATTCAGAAAATTAATATAAAAATGCTTTAAGGTTTAACTTTGTTCTTTTGTGTGGCAATACACTGAAAACAGCTTGAGTTACTTTACGTGGTGTCCGGCTGCAAGGAGAAACAATATTCAAAAGGGAAAATGGAGAGAAACGTGAAGTAAAAACACTAAAATAACCTCTTCTGAATATTATTGACTCAAAATTGTTTCTTAGCTTTTATGCTGACTGTGTGAGATTTACTTTTTCTTGAGATAAAAAATATAATTTAGTCAGTCAAGGAATTTTTGTTTGCCGGTTATGTGCTACATGTAAAATGTTTCTACCCAGAAGAGATTTAAAAGGTAATGTGGTTATCATCAAATTTTAAAGATAAGGCTTTTACTTTCATCACAATTTAAAATGCAATAAATTATGTAATCACTAGTGTAAAAACTACTTGAGATATGAAAAAATAAGTATGTTGATGTCATCTATGTTATACGGAAAGTTTTCCAGAATACAAGAATTGTGATATTAACTTTTTTTACTCTTCTTTGTCATCAGAAATGATGCCAATTTAACGGTGATTTTATTTTTCCTAACTATTCATAATAAAAAACTATCTGCACTGGTACAAAATTTTAACAAAAAAATATAAGCTTATAATAACCAATATGTGAATGCACTGGAGTTTTACAAATTTTATTACTTTGATTACATTCTAACATTTATCATGATGTATAATAGTATATTGATTTAAAATATGGTGGTCTACATTAAACCAAGTCTTCAATGCTACAATAATTGTCACACCTCTCTTCATGTTTATCTATTTTTCTTTTGTCCTTTCTTAGCTGAAAAGCCTGGGTGCAATAAGGTCCCTCTAGAGATCTTTTTGTGAGGCTGAGAGAACATCCATGACATTTTATGAAGACACATGAGTAAAAATGACTAAAGAGGCTAGTTCTACACGATGACAACAAATCATTTGGGGACTAGAACCTGTAGCATTACCTTAAAAAAAATAAAAACTGTGTATGTTCAACAAAATATTTCCAAAACGCATTTCTTTTAATATGCTCTATTTTTTTCTCTTGAGTAAAGTGTTGTTAAAAACAATAAGCACTGCTATTATACAACAGTATCCATTCATTACCGTGTGGGAAGCAGCGTACTAAAAGTTAGACTTCCACATTGTCTCACTTAGACCTTACATCAAGCCTGAAAGGTAGGTATTTGTGCAAAAATTTAAGCTATGACAAAACTAGGATCAGAAAAGTAAAGAAACTTGCCCAAGCTTAAACTTACCAAGGCTGTAAATAATTATAATATTTTATTTACTATGAGTAGATTAACCAAGCAAAATTTTTTCTACATAGCTTTGAGTATTCCTGAAACCTAGAGGATTTTATTTTTCTCACTAAATTTTTTTTTCCAAAATACATTTATTTTTATCTTTGTCCAGTAATAAAATCATAATTTACAAGACTGATGACAGAAAGATCATACGAAGTTTTAGGAAAATTTCTTAACATTGCAGACGGGATCATATATTGAGCCTTCCAAAGCTGAACAGGTTTCTACTTTTGTCACCCATGATTTCCTATAGTTCAAAGGATTTACTGATAATTCAAAGATAATTGTTCAAATGCCTGGTCAGTATCACAGCATTCACATTAATTTCCACATTAACTATCTAAGTCATGGATGCCTCAGGTACCCAAGGTTATTAGTAGTTACTCACTTGAGAGCAAGCTTCCAAGACTCTGTCAGGCAAATTATCAATTCTGTCCATGTCATTGGATCAGAGTCCTTGAAACCTAGGAAAACTTGCTAAATTCTATATACTTTAAAATGAAAAACAATGCCCATTTGGAACTTGAGTAATTCATTTTGACAGTTTGACCAGATGAATTGTAGAGGAAAAACTATCATGTATTTCACAAGCAAACTTTGGTATAAAGAGGAAATTGGTTTTGTATTTTTAGGTGAGTACTTATATAATTATAAGAGAAGCTCAAATTTTTACTCAAGGAATTTAGAGTTAAATGATTTCTAGAGAACATATGCAATGAAAAGTTAATGTTTTAAAAATAGCAAATGTATTATCATTATGGTTTATTCCTTTTCTTTGGCATTCTTGAATATCCTAAGCATAGATAAGTGATAAATAAATAGATACATAGGAACATAGATGAACAAATGTATTTGTTGGCTGTTGGCAAGTGAGATATTTATATAACTTCTTAAAGTTCTACGTTGTATGTCTGAATTACATTGATTAAATCAACTTGAGTTTCATAGGGGACCAAGAATACTTAGATCATTCAATTCATCATGGTTAATTAAGGTATCTACCAAAGTCCAGGTGTAATATTAAACTCCATGTCTTTATTTAGAGAACTCAAAATAAAATGCTCATCAGGAAATCTAACGAAAATAAAAACAAAGTCTTGCTTTCTGTAGGAAAAAAGATGGAGGCCAGAACTTTTTGAGATTTCACAGAAAATCAATAAATTACTGAATTATCTGCAGTAAATAGTTGTATATAAAATAGATTGGGAAATAAAAATATCATTTTAATTAGGATGTTAATCTATTAGTTTCAGATGTCCCTGAGAGGTAGAAAACAATCACTCTAGCTAGCTAACTAGACAGATAGGTAGATGGTAGATAGATATTGATAGACAGATAAGATGATAGATAGATAGATAGATAATATAGATAGATAGGAAAATGATCATTGTGAAAATTCCCAGATGACCCATTAATAGTAATTTTCAAGATATAGAAATGGTGAAAGTAGATGCAAAATTTAACTTGTAGTATTTTTTAATCACTCAACCCAAAATGTCATAACTTGTAGTAATGACAGACTAATAGTAGTTAATATCTTATTAGAAAATTGGATGTTAAAAATCCCAGAAGAAAAGACATGGCACAACCACAGGTCTCCTCTGGAACTGATCTCTATCTTAAACCACTGATCTCTACCTTAAATCGACTAAGACTAGCTTCACCAAAAAACAAAGTAGACGTTGGAATGAGTCAATAAGCTGACACAGTAATAGAACAACCATAAAGTTGGGACTTTCTAAAAGGGATGCTTATTGAGTTACTAGTTTTTTTTTTTTAATTTTCAAAGTAAGATTTTATAAAATGATATAAGAGAATAGGAAAATCTCAACTGCAGTTTATCAATTATTGTCTATGATCCTTGGGTTTTCCCTAGGTATATTATTTCATCATATTTATGCCATTCAATATCCAGTGTAATTCTATACATTGAGTATTTTTGTGTCCCTTTTAGTGTTTAAAAAGGGATACTCAGAGAGTTTTTTATGTAAGTGTATTTCAAACTTGTGGGCATTTAAGACCTAAGGTGAGTATGTGATAAAAATCCAGATTCCAGTTCTCCTCTCTAAAGTCTCTAATTCAGTAGGTCTGGGGTGGAGATTGGCAATCTGTATTTTAAGCAAGCCTCCATAGTGATTCTTTTACATGCAGTCACTTTGGGGAATACTGATTTCCACAAGTTGCCTTGTGAAAGAGTTGAGCAGATCTTGAGTTTAAAAGACAGTCAAGATAAATGGAAAGAAAACAACTGTGTATATTTGTCTGTTTTAGAAGAAAAAATTATTCTTTTATCAGTGAAAGAACAGAAACCACAGTTTTTGTTTAATTGCATGTGAATATAGGACAACTTTACTGTAAGCTTCTGTTAACATGGCAACAGTAGCAATTCAGAGATGACCAATTCATTCATAACTTTTGACTAGCTAGCATAAGCACAATATATGTGAAGCCAAAATAAGCGTTCAACATAGCAACAAGTTGAATCAGAAGATACAAAAGGAGTTACAGAAATCATTGCTCCAGGCCGGGCATAGTTGCTCAAGCCTGTAATTCCTAGCATTTTGGGAGACCCAGGCGGGCTAATCCCTTGTGCCCAGGAATTCAAGACCAACCTCCTGGGAATACAGCAAAAGCCTGTCTCTTAAAAAACAAAACAAAACAAAACAAAAATTAGCCAGGTATGGTGGTGTGTACCTGTAGTCCCAGCTACTTGGGAGGCTGCAGTGAGAGGTTTGCTTGAGCCTCAGGAGGTCAAGGCTGCAGGGAGCGCAAGGCTGCAGTGAGCCATGATCATGCCACTGTAGTTTAGCCTGGCTCAAAGAGCAAGACCCTGTCTCAAAAAAAAAAAAAAAAAAAAATTGTTGCTCCCTTCTAGGGGCTTAGAACAATCTAATAGAATAAAACATATATACACATTAGGTAAAACTTTAGGTAAACGTAAAGTTTTTATGCAGTGTGTTAATTTGTGACTAGACTAGTTACTTAATTGCCAAAACAATTGGAGTAGTGTGGACAGGAGCTGTGACAGTAGGGCCTCCTACAGATGTGGTACTGACCTAGACCTTGAAACAGGCAGGTGTGTATGCTGCAGGGGAAGAAGATCATACAGGACTACAAAAGAGCCTGATGCCCAGCGGCTGGAGAGGAGATTGGCCTGCTTAGAATGAGAATCTATTTAAGTAGTATAGAAAATCTTAACAGCTTTGGTCTTAACTAGAGAGGAGAACTATGCAGGGTTTTCTTGAGGTTGCATATCATCTTAGACTGTCTACTCATTCATTCATTCGCTTAAGCAAGCAGTAGTCCTTTTACAGACAAAGTTTTGATATTAAGCATTTTGTGCAAGCTCTTAGAAAACATAATTATCTTCTTTAAATTTTATCTGTACTCAGATTTACTCCTTGAATCTTCTTTACTCCTTGAAACAGTTTCAATCATCTGTGTCTCCACCCAAATCTCATGTTGAAATGTGAGGTGGGGCCTGGTGGGAGGTGATTGGATCATGGGGATGTATTTCTCATGAATATTTTAGCACCATCCTCCTTGATACTGAGAGGAGGTTCCAGCTGGGCTTCCTGGGTTGAGTAGGGGCTCAGAAAGCTGTGAAATTCACTCCTTTCCTGCATCAGGATTTACTTTGGCCCTGGATGAATAATATTGAAGGTATATGCTTAAAATATTCCCAACATCAGAATTTGTGCATGTGTTTTCTCCCCCAAGAAAGCTATAAACAGCGAAAATTTTGCTGTAAGCTTCCCTGTGTCCTCTCTCCCTTCCCCGTCTCCTGAAACTAAAAGGAATGTTAAAAACCCGTTTTTCTGTGACCAGCAGACCTTATCTATGCTCCCAATTCCAATCCCTTGTAAACACAATTTGTAAAATCCTGTGAGATCCTGTCTCCTTTCCCTTGCTGCTGCAAGGTTATAAAGTAGATAAAACTTAAGTTACAATTTCGGTTCTCCTCAAGACCGGAGACATGTTAATTGTCTTTGTTTCTCGATCTGGTAACATCTTCCAGGGGCACCGCACGTATTTCCCACCTTAAAGAGTTTAAAAGGTGATCAAAAAATCTAACACTGGCCACCCGCCCGGGACCCCTTCCACGCTGTGGAAGCTTTGTACCGTCACTCTGTTCAATAAAGCCTACAGCTTTTTTTTTCTCTAGGTCCGATCCGTGTCTCTCTCTCAACACGGGCTGCCGCCACACCAAATCTTTGGCATGGCTAAGGCAAGAACCTTTAGCGATACAATACTGTCCTCATGATAATGAACGAGTTCTTGTGAGATCTGGTAGTTTAAAAGCGTGCAGCATCTCCCCACCCACTCCCTTCTTTCTGCTTTCACAATGTGATATGCCTGCCCCCTCCTTTGCCTTCTGCTATGATTGGAAGCTTCCTGAGGCCTTCAGGCATCTTTTCATCATAAATTACCCAGTTGTAGGTATTTCTTTTTATTTTTATTTTTTATTTTTTTATTTATTTTATTTTATTTTATTTTATTTTATTGAGACAGAGTCTCACTCTGTCGCCCAGGCTGGAGTGCCGTGGCGCACTCTCGGCTCACTGCAATCTCCGCCTCATGAGTTCAAATGATTCTCCTGCCTCAGCCTCCTGAGTAGCTGGCGTTTCAGGCACCCGCTACCACGCCTGGCTAATTTTTGGATTTTTAGTAGAGATGAGGTTTCACCATGTTGGCCAGGCTGATCTCAAACTCCTGGCCTCAGGTGATCCACCCACCTCAGCCTCCCAGGTGTGAGCCACCACACCCAGCAGGTATTTCCTTATAGCAATGCAAGAACAGATTAATGCACTCCTTCCCCCATGAAGACAATTGGGTGGTTATTTTTTGAACAAAATTATTCAAAGCATTCTCATCTTCTCATTGTAGCTTATCTACTACATTATGATTTCAAATTCAAAATTTAAAATAAATGACTATAAGGCACCTATTTGTAAAATTTAGAAGTAATTTTATTGATATCTGTCCTTTTATTTTAAAAAAGAGAATGAAATACTTTGTTTAATCACCAGTAGAGCCATATTTAGCAGATAAATGCCTGGAATGATCTGACTCAGACTTATGTCTCCATCATCTCCTTCACTGAGATTGTATGTAAAAATCTCTTGTTTCCCTCCATGAAGCGTGAATGGGCTCTTCAGTCTGGTTTTCTTGTTCTCATTACACTCATCTTCAGCTTCATTTCCAATGGTTTTATTTCTTTTTTTAGGCCCATGCAGTTAAAAATCATTAGTTTCAGTTGCAATATACAATTTCAGGCAAGGGCTGATGATATCTGCACTGTAATGGATACCCTCTAAGATCAGCACTTTATATCTATCCCTAACAGGAAATTTTTTATCAGCGGCATTGCTATCAGACTTAAGAGGATCAAAGCATATAACAGCTATTATCAGATAGATGCTACCTTATCCTTTACAGAAAAAACTGCCACTATACGTGGTAAATAATCTTTTTCATCATTTCTTCTGGGCACTTGTTTTTATCACCCCCTTAGACTGAGATTATAGGCATGACTCTAGTGCCAGTCTTGAAACAATCTTCTCTCATAGTCCCTCCATATACTACTTCCTACATTGTACATCATAACTATGGCCAATATAATTTACTCAAGAGCAAAATAAGAACAGAGAGATCAGAACTCTATTTATGATGTCAGACAGTGTGGGAGAGACCTTAGCTCCACGCGTCATGTCTCCCAATTCCTCTGATTTTAGCCTCAGCTGATGGACAGTGCCACACAAGTTCTGATTGACAGTTACTCACCTCAAGCATACTCCATACATCTTTCTGCCAAGAACATTCTGCAACATTATGAAGTCCATGTGCCCTATATGCAAGTAAAGCCAGAAGTCCTGGAGTAATACCTCCAGTAGCAGCCCCTATTGGGAAACAGAAGCCAGTGAGTAAATGCCCCTGCCTCCTGTCCTCAGGGTGATAATTTTGGAAATTGTAGTAGACATTCTGTCACTTCTCAACAGGACCTAGTAGAATCAAGTGAATGCTGTGCACAGGCACAAACTCAATAATACATCTCCCTGTTAGCTTTTTTCGCCATCCCTGTCTCACTTTGGCCACCCTTTCACCCCTACTTTCACATCAACTCCAGTATAAACTACTCACACCTAGGTCTTTGTCTCAAGGGAATACAAACTAAGACAGGTTACTTTGTTAACAACTTGCTATTCCTTTAGAACAGGGATCAGCAATTTTTTTCTCTAAAGGGGCAGATTGTACATGTTTGTGGTTCATATGGTCTTTGTGGCCGCTACTCAATTCTATCATTTTAGAGTGAAAACAGCCATAAACAATGCACAATGAATGGGTGTGACTATGTTCTAATTAAAATATATTTATGAAAACTGGTGGTGGACCGCATGCTGTCCGTGGGCCATAGATTGCTAATCTCTATGAAGCGGAAATTATTTCTGTAATGCATTAGAATATGCTTAGTTTCCCCTAGGCTTCAGTATCCTAATGATAATAATTGGTGAAACTAACAATTACATTTTATTAAAATGATTACATATGAGGCATTATTTCTAGCAGGTGTTTTACATATATTATCATGTTTGACTCCACGTTTTTATATTATTTATGCAGAAACTGAAGCTCAGAAATGCTGTGCTTATCATTCATGTTGTTCACCAAAGAGTTGTTTTATGCGGACTTACGTCTTCATCGTCTCCTTCACTGAGGTTGTATGAAAAAAATCTCTTGTTTCCCTCCATGAAGCATGAATGGGCTCTTCAATCTTAAACAATCTGTCCATCAGCTGAGGCTGAAATCAGAGGAATTGGGAGACATGATGCAAGGAGCTAAGGTCTCTCCCGCACTATCTGACATTATAAATAGAGCTCTGTTCTCTCTGTTCTTATTTTGCTCTTAAGTAAATTCTGTTGGCAATAATTATGATGTACAATGTAAGAAGTAGTATATTGAAGCGATGAGAAAAGATGGTTTCAATTGTTTTTTAGCCTCATTACACTCATCTCCAGCTTAATTTCCAATGGTTTTATTTCCTTTTAAAAGTCCTTGCAGTTAAAAATCATTAGTTTCAGTTGCAATACAAATTTAGGCAAGGGCTGATGATATTTGCACTGTAATGGATACCCTCTAAGATCAGCACTTCAAAGTACATAATTATGTACTTGCCTTCTAAGTACATAATCGAACTGTATTGCCTCTCGCTGGTGGGGTGAAGCCACCTAATAACTTCTAGGCCATGTGTTATGAGCTTTAATTGATACTAAATGATGCTCCAGAACTCTTTTCTTTTGTTCCATTATTGACAAATTCCAGATAGTGGGTTCCAGATTGAGGCAAACAGAAGGCAGCAAATACCAGTGGCAAGTAACTTGAGAGAAAAATACATCTGATATTTGGAAATTATTTGTTACCAGTGTATAACTTAGCCATCCTGACAAATATGAAAGCTAAATAACTTGACCATTAACATAGCTAATAAGTGGCATAGATCAAATTTGAATACAGATCTTCAAACCCCAATGCCTGACCTCTTTCCACTGTACCTCCCTTACTATGTGTTAGTCTTTTCTGCATATTAAAAACAGAAAAAACCAACAATATTTTACGGTAAATTCTCCCTGTCAAGGGGTGCTACTGTCTGAAGGGCCAAAGGTCTCCTGTCTTAGCTGTGTTGAAAACCCAGGAAATAGGGATAATCCGGAAAAGGTGAGCAAAAAAGAACACTGGTTCTTGAAAAATTGTCAAGTACATAGTATTTATATTCGCTGGCCTCCCATCTTTTTCCTACTCTAAGCCACAGTTCCTATCACAGAAAGACTCTGGGACATCTGTCAAGGCATAGTGATTTACTCTTCTCTGGTAACTACCTCCCATTTCTCTAAAATGGGAATGAGAACTCCCCATTAGTTAAAAAATAGTAATAGTAAAAATAACTGGTCTCAATAACCATCATGAAAATAATTTGTTAAAATAATCCAGTCTTAAGTATCCTACAGGAAGACCATTAATAATAAATACGTTTCTGATGGTAGAATCTGAATATAGGCCAGGATAGTTTTGTCAGCTACCTCTCCATTTCTTTTCTGATTATTCCCACCTTCTCTCTCAAATCAGAACAGCTCAAGCGCAGAATATATGACACAACCCCAGGATCAGAAAATACATATTTCGTTAATGCAAACAGAAATCAATGAGTAAAATGTTTGAACTGTATTATCATAACTAATCTCCTATTAGTTAGGACAAAAGAGAATAATTAATTTAGTGTCTTTGTTTTTAAAATATGGTCACTTTTCTTAGGTTTATTTTTGTAAAAATGTATGCCAATCACATATTCTTGCTTCTCTCAAAATGATAATTTATTCAAATTAAACAAATAACTCACTTTTTTCTCATAGGGGGCAGTAAGTTATACTCTATAGTAATGTCAGTAGCGAGTAACATGATTCTATATAAATCTATAGACTGGTTGATTTTGCATCATTTGCTATATAAATAGAACATAAAATGTTAGTTTTAAAAAGAAAAAAAGATGAACAGCTATTTAAGAAATAAATCATTTAATCTTTAAACCCATAAACAGAAAGTAAATATAATATGTGGTTTGCACCAAAACTTCCTGAAATTCAGGAGACTAAACTGAATTAATATTCTATGTTGCCTAGGAGTTGCAGCTGACTGCCTCAGGAAATATATGGACATATAGTGATATATCTCCTGGGCTGTTATGTAAAATAAAATTGAGTAAATCAGACATTGTTGATTGCCTAAATATTTACAGCTTGAGAAATTTTAAGATCAATAACTTTTTTCAAAAGCGTTGGGTTTGAAATGAGTTTCTTTTAAAATAATTAGAATTAGGAGGCCAGTCATGATTTGCATTATCTAGTCCTGTATTGAGTGGTATCATTCTTATTGTCATATGCTTTTTTGTCCTATTTTTAAAATTTAGTCTACCTAACATTTGCAAAATATTTTTGAATAGAAGTTTTTCTGAAGAGATTTCATGCACATAATAAATGTCTGCCTTAACATATGTGTTCATTACAAGAATGTTTTTTCATATTATAAAAATATGTATCTAAGTTTTTACTTAAATCTTGGAACATTCATGACAAGACGTATGTTGATGGTTTAATGTTAAATGTTCAGCAGGAATTAATTTTATAGTATTACAAATGGTTAAAAATGTCACATTATACTACAAAACTAGAATTTCTGATTTATAAACTCATTTTTATATTCACAATTTAGAGAAAATTGTGGACACATTAAACTGCTTACATAAGCTTTTACGGAAGTAACTAAAAAATGAAAAGCAAATTTTGCAGTGCCATTTGGCTGGCTAATTTATCTAAAATACGATAACTGTAAAACCAGGTAGAAGGTCATAATTATAATTTTTTTCTCAGTGAAATCTGTGATAGATCTCTCCACATTTAAAGAATTCAGCACTTTTGTCCATTCTTACATTGTTAAAAAGAAAATATCCAAGAAACACAAACTACAATTGCAATTTCTTAATAAGACTGTATGTAAGACACATGTATGTTAATGTCTTATAATTTTAAGGAAGAGAAAGAATAATTCCTTTTTTATTCTAAACATCCAGAAGAGTAGTCCTATTAATTCAAGGTCTCTTACCCTTCCAAAGGAAATCATCTAAAATTTTATGTGGCCATTTAAATGATTGCTTCGGGAAATTTATATGGTAGTCATGGGAACAAGTAAAGAAGTCAAGGCAACGTTGATCATTTTAATGGTGTGCAAGTGATCCATCCAATTTGTAAATACCTTAGACCACTCTCTAGGTCATGAATGATCAGAAAAGGCATTTATGCAAAATTAATGAAGTAAAATATATGTTCATTAATAGCTAGAATCTTCTAAAGTTTTTTAATTGGTCAGGTTCATTGTAATACTCCATCCAAGCTTTTAAAAGAAAAAAACACCGTAGCTGGGTTATTGCATACTTTTGAAGAAAACATATTTTCTTTTTGATAATTCAAAACTAATTATTTTGTGTTTTTCTTTTTAAAAATACTGAATATTTCTATTAATAGCACTTCTTTACAAAATATACTTCCCTGGTTCCATCAACATTTGTCTGCTTAGAACAAGTAATGATATAAATATAATGTTCCTATATCTTGGCAGCCCCTCTCTTAGAGATTAACTGCATAAAGTACAGACAAACAGGGCAAACTGGACCTAGACCCATTATTTTGAACCCCCTCTCTCCAAACCTGGCACTTAAATGAGACAGGTAAGAAGAGAACTAAGTTGTGAATGCTGGAAAGAATCCCATGCTAGAGACAAAATGTACTGATGGCATCTTGGTGATAAATAAATATCACAAACACCCAGCACTTTGGGAGGCTGAGGTGGGAGGATCTCTTAAGGCCAGGAGTTTAAGACCAGCCTGGGCAAAATAGCAAGACTGTGTTTCTACACAAATAAATAAATAAATAAAAGAAAAAAATTAAGCAAGCAAACAAACAAAAACGAGCTGGGCATGATGACATGGACCTATAACCCTACCTACTTGGGAGGCTAAGATAGGAGGATCACTTGAGCCCAGGAATTCAAGGTTGTAGTTCAAGTAAGATATAACTCTGCCACTGCACTCCAGCCTGGACAACAGAGCGAGATCCTGTCTCAAATAAATAAATAAATAAATAAATAAATAAATAAATAAAATGAACAGTGATAGTTCATGAAAACAGTCTGTCAGAGGTGGTCTGACGTGAAACATGTCTCAGAGTTTCTGAAAACTTGACGAAGAAGAGCTAGATCTCTTCAGAAACCAAGGCTAACAAGCAGAAGAAATCAAGGAAGTCTGAGAGCAAGTAACTCGTCCTTAATTTCAACACAGAGACTAATCACAGAGACAACACAGAGACTCATCTCTGACGGGGTAATGGAATTGAGTTATGGAAGGAACAATGGATTAGATAGATTAAAATGCAGGAAGACAGGGTAGAGGGAAAAAAGTAGAACCCGAGTTACTAGAAATGAGATACTAGATTGAGAAGTTTGGTCTTTATACTAAATAATTGATTGGTAATTCATGATTAATTTTTGATGACTATGGTAAAAATCTAGGAAGGACATGATATAGTAATATTTTCTTTGGAACTGAGACAACCTCGATCCTGAAACTACAGGTAAAATTGCCTGTGCCCTGGGAAGAGGAGCCTACAGAGAGGACAGGTAGGCAATGTCAGTGGCTGACTTGCAAAAGCCTCAATGTGGCTACTTGATATTTTACTCCAGCTAAAACCAAACCTATTTCCTCATATGTGCCATGAAGATCACTCTTCCCACTCTGGTTTATAGGGAAGATTAAATGGACTTGTGTAATTAAAGTCCCTGGCCTAGAGTAGAGACACAATAAATGCTAATACCACTCTCATTGTTAGGGTCATGATCTGGATTTTCCAGACTGGTTTCACATCAAAAATTCTAAAGTCAGTTTTCTCTCTATACTCTTTTCTACTCAATTCCTACCCCAGGCAATCCGGAATTACTTTTTAGTGGAAACAAGAAGTAACAACAACTACCTCCATAAAAAACACAAAAGCATGGGCCTGGCATGGTGGCTTCTGCTTGTAATCCCAGTACTTTGGGAGGTTGAGGTGGGAGGATGGCTTCAGAAAAGGAGCTCAAGACTAGCCTAGGTGAGAAAGCAAGACCCCATCTCAACAGATACATATATGTATTTGTATGTGTGTGGTTATTGAAAAAAACACTTATGTATCCTTTGGAGACATATTGAGGCACAAAGCACTTTGAACCCTGTACACTTTGTCTCTCTCCTTTGCAATTCCCATTACAGGCTGACCCAGGGAAAGCTGAGGGGTGGAGAGATCTCATAATGCGGAACACTCATTGGCTGTATTGCAACTCTTCCTCATCCCCTTCCTATAAAGAGCTGACCATTGTGGAAGCATGCCAATGACCTCCAGATCTCTGTGGCCAGGATAGTCATGGATTTAGCAGTGCTGAGCTATTTTGATGGTGTAGTTAGCAGTAGGCCAAAACCAGACGACGTGAGCTCCTGTGGTTTACAGCAAGAGCCTCTGGGAATCTGTTGGAAGAAAGCTGAGTGTTGGGAAGAAAGCTCAGGCAGGGTTTGCATAATGTTCTCTGGAATGTGTCTAGACTTGCTGGCTCCTTTCTTCTAGCCCTCCTGGGCTCCTAGATCGATTGTATTCCCATTATCTCAAGTAGCAGAAGATGTTCCATATAAATGCTAAACCATCACAGCTGTAGATCATGTGCCTATCATTTTGACCCCCACATTCTCACCACCTGTTTCTCTGTTGGATTAGCAATAAATAGTGTGGGATCCCAGAGTTCGGGGCCTTCGCAGCCTCCACAATCGCGATGGCCTCCTGGTCCCACTTTACCTCTCAAACTGTCTTTTTCTCAATCCTTTGATTCTGCCAGACTTTGTTACCCCCACGACCTGGTGTTGGATCTGATTACCCCAACATTCCTGGCTGCCCGATGTGGGGCAACAAAGACCCTGGTGAAGGAACACTAGAGCGTGGGAAAGTGGAGGATGCATCGTCAAAGGACACTCGAGGACGTCTAAAAGAAACTCAGCGGGAAAGCTGAGCACTCGGAAGAACCAGGGTAACAATGAGACAAAGTGAAAGCAGACTTTCTGCTTATTTAAATTTCTTAAGGCATTTATCACAAAGAGGGGGAGTGAAAGTTAGTACTCAGAATTTGTTATCACTCACTCTTTAGTGCAGTAAAGCAGTTTTGCCCATGGTTCCCAGAACAAGGGACTATGGAGTTGGATGCATGGGAGAGAATTGGAAGAGGTTTTTAAAAAAGTGTATAAAGATGGAGCAAAAATTCCAGTCTGTTTGTTCACTGTGGGTGCTAATAAAAGCAGCTCTTGAGCCATTTCAAACAGACGATGAGGCAGATTCAGATGAGGAAGAGGAAGACGAGTGTAAAAATCGAACTTCAGATTCTGAATGTGAGGAACAGGAAACGGAGGAAATTTAAAGAAAGGATATGTTTTACTAGCCCATCAGCTCCACCTGCTGAATTAAGTGAAAGGCCACTTCCTCTCTCCTCTTAATGGGCAAGAAGATGAATTGGCTACAAAACTTACTGCTCCCGTAGTTGAAACATTAAAACCTGGAGCAATTGGTGGTGCTACACAAAATTCTATTCAAAAGGCTAGAGCCGAGAGAGACCTTGAAGCATGGTAATTCCCCGTAACTATAAGATGCTCTTTTAAGATGCTCTGCTCCCCAGTTTCTACCCAGCTTACCCCCCCTGCAATACAATCTTCAAGCCTTGGCTCCTTGCCCAGGGCCTTAGAACTGATAACCTAGTACTTTAACAGCTGGAACTGGGTCTACAACAACATAATAGATCAGGATGAAAACAAATTCAGTAAATTAAAGGGAGGCGTATATTCCTATAGTGGCAAATGGGGGCAACGAGCAAATGTCCTTCCACTTTGTTTCCAAAACCCATCTACAGAGGAGAAAGAAAGAGATATATACAAGAAAAAACAGCGTACCCTATTCCTTTAAAAGCCAGGGTAAATGTAAAACCTATAATTGATAAATGGAGGTCTTCTCCATGACCCTATAACACTCCAATACTACCTTGTTGTCAGTGTAAACAAGGGCATAGCCTGAAAGCACTGAGACCACTGACAACTAGTAGCCTTCCTAACAAAAATCCTTAACCCAGTAACCCGCGGATGGCCCAAATGCATTCCATCGGTAGCGGCAACTGCTTTGCTAACAGAAGAAAGTAGAAAAATAACCTTTAGAGGTAACCTCATTGTGAGCACACCTCACCAGTTCAGAGCTATCCTAAGTGAAAAAAGCAAAAAGGTAGCTTATAAACTCAATCTTAAAGTATGGGGCTATTCTGTTAGAAAAAGGTGATTTAACATTAACCACTGAAAATTCCCTTAACCCAGCAGGCTTCCTAATGAGGGATTTAAATCTTAATTACCATACAAAGGTCCAACCAGAACTGGGAGAGACTCCCTTCAGGACAGGAGGATAGATGGTTCCTCCTGGGTGATTGAGGGGAAAAAAACAAACACACACACACACAATGGGTATTCAGTAATTGATAGGGAAACTCTTGTAGAAGCAGAGTTAGGAAAGTTGCCTAATAATTGATCTGCTCAAACATGCGAGCTGTTTGCACTCAGCCAAGCCTTAAAGTACTCACAGAATCAAAAAACTCTATCTCAATCCTGACTCAAAAGGTTACCTACACCCTCTCTGAAACAAATTTGCATAAGAACTGTTGTTTATGGGAGTGCATCTTGAAGGGGCAGCTGGGTTATTATGAAATACTCAGGAACCCAGCCCAGCTCTAGGACTCACCCCTGAGCACAAAGGCAATGTTGGGCACACTGGTAAAGGACCACTAGAATCCAGCAGCCCGGACCCTTTTCTTTGTGGTCAAGAAAGGGGAAAACAGGTGCAGGACTGCTACATCGGTGAGCGTAACTAATCCGATAAGCAGAGGTCCATGGGTGATTATGTACCCTGGAAAGGAATAAGCATTAGGACCATAGAGGACACTCTAGGACTAATGCTCATCAGAAAATGACTAGGGGTGCTGGCATCCCTATGTTCTTTTTTTCAGATGGGAAATGTTCCCCCCAAGGCAAAAACGCCCTTAAGATGTATTCTGGAGAATTCGACCCAGTCAGAGTGTGTGTACCTTTTTCCCTCTCAGATTTGAAGCAACTTAAAATAGACCTAGGTAGATTCTCAGATAACCCTGATGGCTATATTGATGTTTTACAAGGGTTAGGACAATCCTTTGATCTGACATGGAGAGATATAATGTTACTGCTAGATCAGACACTAACCCCAAATGAGAGAAATGCCACCATAACTGCAGCCCGAGAGTTTGGTGATCTCTGGTGTCTCAGTCAGGTCAATGATAGGATGACAACAGAGCAAAGAGAACGATTCCCCACAGGCCAGCAGGCAGTTCCCAGTGTAGACCCTCGCTGGGACACAGAGTCAGAACATGGAGATGGGTGCCACAGACATTTGCTAACTTGCATGTTAGAAGGACTAAGGAAAACTAAGAAGAAGCCGATGAATTACTCAATGATGTCCACTATAACACAGGGAAAGGAAAAAAATCCTAATGCCTTTCTGGAGAGACTAAGGCAGGCATTGAGGAAGCATACCTCTCTGTCACCTGACTCTATTGAAGGCCAACTAATCTTAAAGGATAAGTGTATCACTCTGTCAGCTGCAGACATTAGAAAAAACTTCAGAAGTCCACCTTAGGCCCGGAACAAAACTTAGAAACCCTACTGAACTTGGCAACCTCAGTTTTTTATAACAAAGATCAGGAGGAGCAGGCGGAATGGGACAAACGGGATCAAAAAAAAAAAAAAGGCCACTGCTTTAGTCATGGCCCTCAGGCAAGCAGACTTTGGAGGCTCTGGAAAAGGGGAAGGCTGGGCAAATCGAATGCCTAATAGGGCTTGCTTCCAGTGCGGTCTATAAGGACACTTTAAAAAAGATTGTCCGAACAGAAATAAGCCGCCCCCTCATCCATGCCCCTTATGTCAAGGGAATTACTGGAAGGCCTACTGCTCCAGGGGACGAAGGTCCTCTGAGTCAGAAGCTGATCCAGCAGCAGGACTGAGGGTGCCCAGGGCAAGCACCAGCCCATGCCATCACCCTCACTGAGCCCCAGGTATGCTTGACCATTGAGGGCCAGGAGGTTAACTGTCTCCTGGACACTGGCACGGGCTTCTCAATCTTACTCTCCTGTCCCAGATAACTGTCCTCCAGATCTGTCACTATCCGAGGGGTCCTAGGACAGGCAGTCACTAGGTACTTCTCCCAGCCACTAAGCTGTGACTGGGGAACTTTATTCTTTTCACATGCCTTTCTAATTATGCCTGAAAGCCCCACTCCTTTGTTAGGGAGAGACATCCTAGCAAAAGCAGGGGCCATTATACACTAGAATTAGGAGAAAGAAAAAGGGTAAATATATAGACTCTAAGTATGCTTACCTAGTCCTCCATGCCCACGCAGCAATATGGAGAGAAAGGGAATTCCTAACTTCCGAGGGAACACCTATCAAACATCAGGAAGCCATTAGACCCCCAAATTCTCCTTACCTCTGAATCTACTTCCTCCAATCCCTGCCTAAAGATAATTTTACAGGGAAGAGGATTTGCTTGTGTCTCTCCACGTGACAATCAGGCACCTATGTGGGTGCCCACCAAACATCTGAAGATCTGTCATGAACCACAGCATCTAGTGGACCCACCTGAACAGTGCAAATTGAAGGTTTAAGGATTGCTTTTAAGCCTCGATTTGTTTTCTCTGTGCCTCCTGTTAGAAGGGGCCTGCTTCTCGTTAATCAACAGTAAGTTTTACCCCCTGGTAATTAAACAAGGCAGAAGCTGAGTTACAAATGCTTCAGCAACGGCATGCCTCCCGGCTACAGCCACAAAAGTTTTTGCTTCTGTTTCAGTAGGTTTACTAAGGTGAGGGTGAGGGTATGTTTGTGTTTTTGCAGGAGATGAACGAACCGTGTGGATGCCCTCAAGATGTGTATGACCATGGAATGGGAGACTGGAGGGACCCGTGGATCCCAACCATGGACCAGATTCCCCCATTATAAGCCATAAGCCAGTTGAATCTGAATGCGAAGACGGAACAAGGACCGACCAGAGTCACGATGCTTGATGGACCAATGCTTTCTGACTCAGCTCCTCTCTATCCTGAATACAAGAGACAAGAGACCCTATTCAGCATGAAGAAGTTACAGAAGACGGACCTTCATCCTTCTGCAACCCCTAGGATTAAGGGTCCTCTTGTAAAAGGGAAAAGGGAAATATGTGGGAAGCATTCAAACCAGAGTGACTCCAGTTTGAATAAGGGCTAAGAAAAATGAAGCTGGATCACCAACCGGCAATTAAGGGCCGCACGGCCTACAATCGCCTTGCTCAATTAAAAGAGGCCACCTTTTATGCTAGTAATAATGATAGCTAGTAATAATGATACCTTCTCTTTTACAAAAAAGAGAAGGGGGGCATGTTGGGAAAAAGCTGAGTGTTGGGAAGAAAGCTGAGGCAGGGCTTGCACAATGTCCCCTGGAATATGTCTAGACTTGCTGGCTCCTTGCTTCTAGCCCTCCTAGGCTCCTAGATTGATTGTATTCCCATTATCTCAAGTAGCAGAACATGTTCCATATAAATGCTAAACCATCACAGCTGTAGATCATGCAGCTGCCATTTTTGACCCCTACATTCTCACCACCTGTTTCTCTGTTGGATTACCAATAAATAGTGTGGGCTCTCAGAGCTCAGGGCCCTTGCAGCCTCCAAAATCATGATGGCCTCCTGGTCCCACTTCTCAAACTGTCTTTTTCTCAATCCTTTGACTCCACCGGACTTCATTGCCCCCATGACCTGGTGTTGGGTCTGATCACCCCAACAGGAATCCACTGGAAGCTTGGCTTGATGTTTCCTCCAATAGGTAACTTCATGTCTTGGAAGATATAATTTCCACATGGTGACATTGTGTGGGGCAGAGACATTTCTTCTCAACTGCAGCAATTTGAAGCTCTAATTCAGAAGCCAACACTCTGTTCTTTATTGGATTTCAGACTCTCAGGAATCTCTGTTTATAGCTGCAACCTGGAGATTCCCCTCATCTCTCCACCCCAACACAAAGTTCTAGTCTCAGAAAAGCCTAAATAAATAGTTAAGGAAAAGTTGAAGTGTAGCCTCTCAGCTGTTTGTTTTTCTTCCAGCATTTCTCTGTGATAGATTTTTAAAAACCAAACAAATACAAAAAACCACCCACAGTATTTTTCATTCACTCCAATCAAGGGATGGAGCCTACTTCTCTGCAATTGGAATCTAGGCGTGGCCATGTGACTTACTATGGTTAGTGAGGCCTAAACAAATGCAGTTCAAGCAAAGTGTGGCCAGTGTTTGCACCTTGGAGCTCACTTTCTTTGCTGCTGGGAATTCTTTTGTCACCATGTGAATTGGCCCAGGCTGGCCTCCTGGAGTATGACAGACCAGGTAAGCAAGGCATGCCAAGTCTGCTGAACCAGCTAAGGCCACAGACACATGAGTGGGGCCCTCTTAAACGATCCGGTCTTACCAAGCTGGCTCATATCAGAACTGCCCAGCTGACCTACAGAATTATTGGGGAAAAGTTGCTGTTTTAGTTCACCAACATTTGAAGTGGTTTGTTATACAGCAACAGCAAACCAAAATATTTTATTTAGTTCCCATATAATATAGAGCTGCAGAATAAAATACTGTTTAATAGGGGTTACTTACATGAGTAAGTACTTTAAAAGCAACACGGCTTAATGTTTTGTCATTTTCTCAGGAAAAAAAAAAATTATGCCAATTTGATAGATGTTGTCCTGGCGAGTAAGTAAAGCAGGTGATGGATTATGTAGCAGCACATATTCACCTATGAATACACTTGATTATGTATATTAAATAGTAACTATTTCTTACATTTATTGGTATCATCAGTTTCAGAATAAAGAATGGGATGAGGGCTGATTGTTATTTGTTTGTTTTCAACTTACTTATCTTGGAAAATACTACCCAAGAAAACACATTTTCCTTGAAATAGGAAAGAGCATTCCACTGGATTTTACTCCTGTTTCCATAGACACAATCACTTGGGTTATGAGGTGTCCAACAGGGATTCTGTGCAGGAAGCAGGAACAGCTTTTCTTATGTTTTACTTTAGCAACATGGGTCAGTGACTCACAGAAGAAATGTGATTTCCTTCTGAGGAGGAGAAAGAATCAGGGTTCCAGACTGGAAGATATGTCTAGTAGATATGCAGGTGGATTTTACTGTTCAAAATTAAAGCATTGGCATCAGTGTTCAAAGGATTGGCATTGGGTTATTTATGGCTCGCCTCACTGATACTAAGCACACCCTTGCCTTTGTGATCATACTTGCGGAGTTATTGCCATGAGGTTGTGTGAGCTTGGCACACCAAACTGCTTGACTCTCTAATATGCTATAAAAACTTATAGCCACATGGCAGCAGGCGCACTTCCCTTTACATTATCCAACAGATATGGACCAAAATTAGAAAATTGAGACATTTGGGTTTTTTTTTCCCTTAGAACTGGGATTTATTTAGAAACTCTAATCTGAAGACACTCACTTTTGAAATGCTGAGGAAATTGCAAACAATTTATCACACAGAAATATTTGGAAGCATCCGCATCATTAAAAGTGTCCCTTTCTAGTTTATAACTGAAAATCAAATAATGATCAACAACGGTATTTATTTCTTCCTAGGCAATCTTCTTTTGAATCGCTAATTCGTTAAAGAACCATTTAAACTGATAAGGTCCATAATTTTCATGGTCACAGATCTTCAAGGAGAAAATATGATTATTTTTTAAAATGTTCTAATATGGTAATGGACTAATGTCACTTAAAGAAAAAATATTGAAAAATCTGTATGAATCAACTAACATGCAAGATTGGGAAATTTTTAAACTTGCACTTTTTTGTGTGTAAAATATGTATAAATATGTATACATAATGTATGTACAGTGTCTATTTCTAATCTTTGGGCATCATTAGTTAATTTCAGAGTGAGGAATTTTGGAGACAGAGTATTGTTATTTCTTGTCTGTTTATTAGGTTATTTTTCTTGAGAAATACTATACAGGATAAATCTTTCTTCCTAGAAATAAGGAAAAAAACAACGGACTGGATTTTCCTAGTTTCTACAGATGCAAGAGCCAAATGACTTTTGAGGTAAGATACAAACACTTGTTTTTATTTTTTTAAATTGTATTTTAAATTCAGCGGGGTACATGTATTTATTTGTTACATGGGTATTACGTACATCATGCTGGGGATTGGGCTTCTAGTATACCCATCACCCAAATATTGATTACACCCCACTATTACTGGATTGCTATCAATCTGTTTTCTTAGGTCTAATAGTATTTGTTTTATGGATCTAGGTGCTCTGGTGTTTGGTGCATATATATTTAGGATAGCTAAATCTTGTTGTATTGAACCTTTATCATTATGTAATGCTTTTCTTTGTCCTTGTACTGTTGTTAGTTTGAAGTCTGTTTTATCTGATATGTGAACGGCTACTCCTGCTCACTTTTGTTTTTTATTTGCATCATACGTCTTTTTCTATCCTTTTTCTTTGAGTCTCCATGTATCTTTAGCCAGTACATGCATCTCTTGTAGATAGCAGATGGTTTGGTCTTGTCTTTTTAATCCGATTTGCCACTTTATCTTTTAAACAGGGCATTTAGGCCCTTTATATTCAAGGTTAATATTGATTGATATGTGAGGTTCTGTTACTGTCGTAGTGTTATTAGCTAGTTGTTCTGTAGTTTTGATTGTGTTTGGAGTTTTTCATTGCTTTATAGCATCTCTGACCTTCGTATTTTTAGTAGAGATGGGGATTCACCATGTTGGCCAGACTGGTCTCAAACTCCTGACCTCAAATGATCCACCTGCCCTTCAGCCTCCCAAAGTGCTGGGATTACAGGCATGAGCCACCACACCTGGCCATAATATGTATGCTTTTCTGATGGTAAAAATTGTCCTTTTGTTTCCATATTTAGAACTCCTTTGATCATTTCTTATAGGTTCAGTCTAGTGGTGACAAATTCTCTCAGCATTTCCTTGTCTGGGAAAGACTATTTCTCCTTCATTTATGAAGCTTACTTTGGCAGGGTATAACATTCTAAAATTTTGGCATGTTTTTTCTTTAAAGGGGCAAAAAGTAGGCCACCAATCTCTTCTGACTTGTAGGACTTCTGTGAAAAGTCTGCTGTTAGTCTGCTTGGTTTTCCTTGATAGGTGATTTGACCTTTTTCTCCAGCTGTCTTTAAGATTTTTTTCTTTAGCGTTATTTTTGGGCCTCTCTAGCAAGATTAGGGAGATTTATCTAAATTATTCCCTCAAATAATTATTCTCTCAAGTAGTTGTTTACTTTTACTTCTCTCTCAGGAATGCCAAAAAGTCAAAGGTTTGGTCACTTTACATAATCCCATATTCCTTGAAGTCTTTGGCAAACACTTGTTTTTAAAAGGCAACAAAAATCTTCACTGTGACCTGCAGGAGGTATTCTTATCCTGTCATCTAGAAAAACAAATATGTACATTTGAATTCATTTTATTTTGTCTTGCCTTAATCTTTTTCCTTATCTTAAAATGTTGTTCACCCATTGCTTTCTCATCTACACCCTTCTTTTTATTCTATTGTGACCAATACTGGTGTCTTTGTGTAGCATGATTTTAAGCTTCCTCAAAGTTTAAAGATTTTCACTTAACATGGAAACATTTAAAACAATAATACTTACTATTGACATTTTTCAGTGCAAACATAACCAACCTAACAATATCAATGACAAAAATTCTACTACTACTACTGACACTGTCAGTAGAATAAGAAGAAAAGCCACAGACTTGGGGAACATATTTGCACAAGACATGTCTGATAAAGGACTGTTCTCCAGAATATACAAAGAAATCTTAGAAGTCAACAATAAAAAAATAAACAACCTGATTTTTTAAATGAGCAAAAGGCCTGAACATATATATCACCAAAGAAAATATACAGAAGGCAAATAAGCATCTGAAAAGATGCTCCCCATCATGCATCATTAGGGAAATGCAAACGACAATGGGATAGGATACCACTACATGCCTGTTAGCGTGGCCAACATCTAAAACATTGACAACACCAACGCTGGGGAGGATGTGGAGCCATAAAAATTCTCATTTGTTGCTGGTAGAAATTGACATTAGTCAATCAACATCAGGAGAATGTTCTTTTCTGGGAATTTAAGCTGAAGATAATTCCTGAAGGATAAGCCATATGAATATTTTAGAGCCCTAAGTGTACTTTGCAACATTCTTTATTATAAGAAAAACAAAATCCTAAACATCCAAAAATTGGAAAATGTGATTAAGTCGATTTTGATATGTGACAGACTGGTATACAATGATTAAAATATAAATCTAAAAACGGTGTATCATGTAGAATGTTTACAATATAAAGCTAAGATAAAATTCAGATTTCAATGCAGCATCAGCACGTTGTTTACATCTGTGTCAAATTATATGTGTATGTCTTCAAGAACTGGAAACAATCTGAAAAACATAAATCAGAACAGAATGCTGAGATGTTGAGACATGAATTCTTTTAAAAGTTCCTTTATTATTGGGATGCTTACTATCAATGTTTAAAACTTGTATCTACTTTCCTTAATAAACTGATACTTTAATTGAGATAAAAGTAGCTGATAAAAATCTTAGTCCATAAGGTCCCATGATCAACAAATACAAATTTATTTTCCTGTATATAAAAATTAATTTCTTTTGGGGGCCCCATTCTCTTGAATCTCAATCAGTCTTGGGTGTTCCTTGTGATTTCTTGGAGGCACAGCATTTTTTTTATCTTTGTGTTGTAGTCCCAGGTGATTATCTCCTCCTTCCTTATCTTAATCGATTGGATTCTTTGATCACCCGTTCTCTTAGAAATATTGGCACAACTTGGCCAGCGTGGTGGCTCACGCCTGTAATCCTAGCACTTTGGGAGGCCAAGGCAGGCGGATTACCTGAGCTCAGGAATTCAAGACAAGCCTGGGCAACACGGTGAAACCCTGCCTCTACTAAAATACAAAATATTAGCCTGGTGTGGTGGTGCACGCCTGTAGTCCCAGCTACTCAGGAGGCTGAGGCAGGAGAATCGCTTGAACCCAGGAGGCGGAAGTTGCAGTGAGCCGAGATCGTGCCACTGCACTCCAGCCTGGGTGACAGAGTGAGACTCTGTCTCCCGCCACCATCCCCCACCCGCCCCCCCGCAAAAAAGAAATATTGACACAACTCAGGCCTGGCGTGGTGGCTTACGCCTGTAATCCCAGCACTTTGGGAGGCTGAGGTGGGCAGATCACGAGGTCAGGAGATTGTGACCATCCTGGCTAACCCGGTGAAACCCCGTCTCTACTAAAAATACAAAAATATTAGCCGGGCGTGGTGGCGAGTGCCTATAGTCTCAGCTACTCGGGAGGCTGAGGCAGGAGAATGGCGTGAACCCAGGAGGCAGAGCTTGCAGTGAGCCAAGATTGTGCCACTGCACTCCAGCCTAGGTGACAAAGTGAGAACCCGTCTTAAAAAATATATGTATTGGCACAACGTGGATGGGCATGGTGGCTCATACCTGTAATTCCAACACTTTGGGAGGCCGAGGCGAGTGGATCACCTGAGGTCAGGGGTTTGAGACCAGCCTGGCCAACATGGTGAAACCCCGTCTCTACTAAAAATACAAAAAATTAGCCCAGCGTGGTGATGTTTGCCTGTAATCCCAGCTACTCGGGAGGCTGAGGCAGGAGAATCGCTTGAACCCGGGAGGCAGAAGTTGCAGTGAGCCGAGATCGGAGGTTGCAGTGAGCCATTGCACTCCAGCCTGCGTAACAAGAGCAACTCTGTCTATAAAAAAAAAAAGAAAAGAAAAGATAAAAAGAAATATTGGCACAACTCTCAGAAACATGGGAACACACATATCCACACTCATCTGGGCTACAGTTTAAATTCTGGTTCCTTTCCCCTTTAGGCACATAGGATCATGCCGAACTAAAATGGGGCTGTCAAAACTCTGAAAAACTCTTTCTTATCTTCCTTAGTAGAAATCCCTAAACAATTCTTTTGCCAATGGTTATACCAGCAGCCCAAAACTCTAAGGTCTTGATGCCCCACAACCAAGTTTTACTTTGAAAATGGTATGTGGTTCACTTATCACCCAGATTTCCATCCTCACAAGAAATCTGATCATACTTTCTACCCCAGCCTTGAAGTAGGTAGCAAAATGGAGAGAGAGAATAAGTGTGAAGGAGAGAGAGAAAGGAAATGTAGCAAAATATTAAGAGTTGATGATCCTGAGTGAAGGCTATATATTTATTAATTGTATAATTTTTCCAGCTTTTTTATTTTGTCATTTTTCAAAATAAACTGTTGCAAAAGCAAGAAAGAATGGAATAGCTGAATTGGAAGTCAACAGTATAGATATGTGTCTTTTATGGAATTTTGGTATGATAGAGGAGAGAATTAGGATCGTGAGTGGGACAGAAAGGAAGTGTATAATTTCTTGCTCTTTATGTTAAAAAAAAAAAAAAAGAAATCTAGTCTGGGCCCAGTGGCTCAAGCCGGTAATCCCAACACTTTGGGAGACCAAGAGGGGCGGATCACTTGAGGCCAGTAGTTTGAGACCAGCCTGGCCAACATGGAGAAACCCTGTCTCTATTAAAAATACAAAAATTAGCCAGGTGTGGTGGTGGACACCTGTGATCCCAGTTACTTGGGAGGCTGAGGCAGGAGAATCATTTGAACCCAGGAGATGGAGTTTGCAGTGAGCTGAGATCATGCCACTGCACTCCAGCTTGTGTGACAAAGTGAGATCCTGTCTCAAAAACAAACAAACAAAAAAACAGAAAACCAAGCAGGTTATTTATACACACATCTATAACTTCAACTACATATTAATATTTGCAAACACTCGGAAAAATTTCCACCTCAGAAGTGGCTTTTGTTTTATTGTGTCCCCATAACTTTTTTCCTTTCATTTAAAAATATTCTACCATGGTAGTAAAGACAGAGTGGTACTGGCAAAAGTAAAGAAAAATAGATCCATGAAATATAATAGACAGCTAAGAGATAGAACCACATAATATATAGGTAACTGATATTTGACAAAGGGGCAAAGGCAACACGGTGAAGAAAAATCTTTCAACAAGTGATGATGGACCAATTGGACATCCATATGAAAAAATGGATCTAGAAACAGACCTTACACCCTTGACAAAAATGAACTCAAAATGGGTTATAGATTTAAAGGTAAAACACAAAACTAGAAGATAATCAGCAAAAAGCTGGATGGCCTCATTTATGGCATGATGTTTTAGATAAAACACCAATTGTACAACCTGTAAAAAAAAAATAAGCTGGACTTCATTCAAATTAAAAACTTCTGCTCTGTGAAAGACACTGTCAGTCGAAGAAGAAGAAAAGCCACAGACTAGGGGAACATATTTGCACAAGACGTGTCTGATAAAGGACTGTTCTCCAGAATATACAAAGAAATCTTAGTCAACAATAAAAAAAAAAAACCTGATTTTTTAAATGAGCAAAAGGCCTGAACATATATATCACCAAAGAAAATATACAGAAGGCAAATAAGCATCTGAAAGGATGCTCCCCATCATGCATCATTAGGGAAATGCAAACGACAATGGGATAGGATACCACTACATGCCTGTTAGCGTGGCCGACATCCAAAACATTGACAACACCAATGCTGGGGAGGATGTGGAGCCATAAAAATTCTCACTGGTTGCTGGTAGAAATGCAAAATGGTACAGACACTTTGGAACACAGTTTAGCAGTTTCTCACAAAACTAAACTTACTCTTATTATATGACACAGGAATCCTGCTCTTCAGTATGCACCCAAGTGAGCTGAAAAATTCTGTCCACACAAAAACCTGCACAATGATGTTTCTAGCAGCTTTATTCATCATTGTCAAAACAGGGAAGCAACCAAGATATCCTTTGGTATGTGAGTGGATCAGTAAACTGTGGTACATCCAGACAATGGAATATTATTCAGTGTGGAAAAGAAATGAGTTATCAAGCCATGAATAGTCATGGAGGAAACAGAAATCCATATTACTGAGTGAAAGAAGCTGATTGGAAAAGGTATGATTCCAACTATGTGGCATTCTAGGGAAAAAAAAAAACCACTATGAGGACAGTAAAAAGGTCAGTTGTTGCCAGGGGTAGAGGGAGGGAGGGATGATTAAATAGAACATAAAGTTTTTAGTACATTGAAACTATTCTATGTGATACTCATTGGTGGATATATGTCATTAGACATTTTCAAAGTCGATAAAATATACAACACTAGTATTCCAAGAACCAAGCCGGGTCCAGCCTCATTTTTCTCCAGGCCCAATAATGAGAAGCAGACAAACTAGGAAAGAAGAGAATTTATTGCTGTAACCGGATACAGGGAGAAAGCCAGAGATAAATAATTCCACCAGACCAACTCAAAGTGTTACAGTTTTCTTAGTGCTTACATAGGTTGGGGTTATGTGCCCACCTGCAGTATAGCATTCGCCTGTCTATAGGTAACTAATTTTGTTTTACTAGAAGGTCAGAGGCCAAAAAATGGTTGCTAAGTCCGATTAAGCTGTGAAGGCCCCAGTACCTTCAAGGCCTGTCTACTGTGGTACCGGAGTGATTATTTCTAATTCATCTTCTTTACAGCTTGGTCCAGAGAGCTGCCTTATACTCTACAATGAATCTATTCAAACAGCTGCCTCTGTTACCTTGACTCGTCTCAGATTTTTGTCAACCCGAGAAGGGTTTTCTGGCACTACGAATATAAGACTGTCTATTATTTTGGCTTGCTCCTGTTTAGGGAGAAGCCCATTCAAGGCTCCTACTGACTAAATATTTTATTTCTAGCTTTGATGTCTGGGCACTGATTTCCTAGGTTTAACTATTTGCTCAATGTTAAGGCAGTGCTGTGGAAATTTATCTGTGTAACTGAAGTGCTACGCAGGCCTGTGTGACTGTCATACAGGCCTGTCTGTGTGATTGTCAGGGAGAATTGGCCTGGCACACTAAGAGTGAACACAGGGGTGTAAACTATGGACTTGGGGTGATAATGATTGTCAGTGTAGGTTCACCGTTTGCAACAAATGTACCGCTGAGGGGCAGGATGTTGATAGTGAGGGAGGCTGGGCCTGCACGTAGAGGGGTTCTGGGAGTATACAGGAACCCTCTATACTTTCTGCTCCATTTTGCTATGAACCTAACACTGCTCCAAAAATAAAATATATTTAAAAGGGCAAAAATTCTAAAATTAGGGCAGATATAAGCTTGAGGAATAAAATAAGAACTAGTTGTAAGAATTAGAGAGCTGGTAGAAGTCACTAAATGCCACTTGTCCTTTTTTTTTTTTTTTTTTTTGAGATGGAGTCTCGCTCTGTCACCCAGGCTGGAGTGCAATGGCACGATCTCGGCTCACTGCAACCTCTGCCTCCTGGGTTCAAGCAGTTCTCCTGCCTCAGCCTCCCGAGTAGCTGGGATTACAGATGCCTGCCACTATACCTGGCTAATTTTTTGTATTTTTAGTAGAGATGGGGTTTTGCCATGTTGGCCAGGCTGGTCTTGAACTCCTGACCTCAAGTGATCTGCCCGCCTTGGCCTCCCAAAGTGCTAGGATTACAGGCATGAGCCACCGTGCCCCACCAACTTGTTCTATTTTAATAAAAGATTTTCTATATTTTCATGAAAAATCTTTCTTTAAATCCTCATTCCTAGTAAATACATTTTTATTTTTGCTTGCCCACTAAATATTAAAAATTGGGAAGTTTTTAAGAATGATATTGAAAATATTTTCTATATCTTTTTGTTTGCCTAAATGTCTGTGGTCAGGATCTTTTTTGTAGTTAAACCTATTTAACTTCTTCCTTAGTGACTAAATGAAAGAATAAAAACATTTTCACTATTCTCTGACCCAATAAGCCTATGAATGTTGTGTCATTTTAATGGGCCAAATATTTGGAATAAAATCTTGTGATTGGAGAAATGAGATATAGATTTGATGGAAAAGAAATTGCTTATGAACAAACAATGACATGAATTTTTATGTAATAATGTGAACATATACAAATTTACTGCATACTAAGTTTATCATTGAGAAGGCTGATTCATAGACTCATAGGTGGTGCAATTGTGGTGAAGAATGAAACATTCTACCAAGGTCACAGTATTGCTAATGACAGCCTTCTGGTAACCTGTGATACCCCGGTCCCCTCAGCTAAATTTATCTTATCCATTCTTAATGATAGGAAACACTAGGATTTATTTTACTTTGTGTTAAAGCATGTGTGCCTTTCTAAAAGGCCTCTTTTAGAAAAGTTTTGGCCGTGCCTGAAGGTATTAACTATAGCAGACCTCCAGGGATAAGAAACACTTGTTCAGCTCTAATTATTTTATCAGGTGTCAGCCTCGCTGCCTAAATGCCTAAATTCTAAAGCAAGTCAGTTGCCTTTCAATCAACAAGACAGAACCATCTACACCTGACAGATCCCCATCAGAAAACCCATGGAGACAATTGCTTCTCCAGAAGGATCAGAACAGGCTAGTCATTTATTTCCTGAGATTCTCTAACTTTCACCTTTTTTTCATTCTGATCATAAGAAAAAGATATGCATGTGCTATATTACATTAACTCTTCCAGTGTAGCAATGTGTTCTCAGAACTACAATTTAATATTTTACCTGGTAATCCCAGCACTTTGGGAGACCAAGGCGAGAGGATCGCTTGAGGCCAGGAGTTCAAGAGCAGCCTGGGCAATATAGTGAGACCTCATCTCTGTTTATTTTTTTTAAAAATGTACTTTGCCTTGTATCTGGAGAAGTGTGTGAAATAATGTTACCTTAGACATTGCTTCATTTGTTGTTAATATATCAAGAGAGTTTGTTATGAACTTCTATTCTGCCACATGAGAAATTCTTCTGAGTTCAGAACTAGGACATGTTGGCCATTTCTAGTAATTTAGCATTCTATATCAAATAATAGTTATTTAACTCAGCACCATTGTCTTTTCACCCTGGCTGCCAGGAAGCTAAGTGATTTTTATGGCCATAGCTTCAGTAGCCTTGTCCGCTTCCCATCTCTTGTCATTTTGCCCTTGTTTTCATTTTACAAAAATTCACTTTATCTCTCCAATATGACAAAACACTTTACAAACTCAAAGGCAATAAATCCCAGGCATGTTCGCTGAGCAGTTATGATGTGGTCATCCATGGCACTGAATGAGAACAAAAGTCAGATTCAAGATCCTGTTGGAGGATCTTGGAGACTCACAGCAAGTCAGACACCCAAGCTACAACTGTCAGAAAATTAAGTACATAGTATAACAGAAATAGATACAAGTTGCAGTGGGAATAGAGATGGAAAATATCTGTGTTTTGTTAGAGGAGAACTAGAAGACTTCACAAGAATGTGAACTCTTAACCTGGGTCTGGAAGGATGAGTAGGACATCGCAAGAAAGTATGTTTGTAATGTACAATGGGTCCTGAATCCCAGGATACAAATTCAAGATATATAAAACTTAATATCATTTTTCTGTAACCAAATGCATCTCATTTGACTCTGGTACTGTGGTTTAATCTGAGCAAGTTGGTCTCTATCCTATGAGCCCATGAAATGTTCATTTGATTTAGGGAGTTCAAGAAAATAGCGGTTCTGATTCATTTAATATTCTTTTAAATATAGTGTTTCCTGCCTGGATGTTGACTTTTGAAACTCAGATATTAGGTATTTGATTCTTTTAATTCTCTTTGTATTTTTGATGTGTCATCCCTTCCCAGAGGTAATAACAGGAAGATAAAATGCAGAAAAAGGGGAAACCAGGTATTATTGTGCCCAGCATTGAGTGCCATAACAAAACAACATCTCTTAGTTGAGAGAGGCCTCAGTGGCAAGGGACCTTAGATATTATCTCTGTCAAGCTCCTTCACCCTCATTTTATGGAGTAGAAAATTGATGCTAAGAAAGGCAGAGTGATGCTCCCAACATTATCCTGGTCAGTTGGAATTGTGGGCTGCACTTTTTTTTTTTTTTTTTTTTTTTTGAGATGAAGTCTCACTCTGTCGCCCAGGCTGGAGTGCAGTGGTGCAATCTCGGCTCACTGCAACCTCTGCCTCCTGGGTTCAAGCGATTCTCCTGCCTCAGCCTCCAGAGTAGCTGGGACTACAGGCGCGTGACACTGTGCCAGGCTATTTTTTGTATTTTTAGTAGAAACGGGGTTTCACCATATTTGTCAGGCTGGTCTTGAACTCCTGACGTCGTGATCCACCCGCCTAGGCCTCCCGAAGTGCTGGGATTATAGGCGTGAACCACTGCACCCGGCCTGTGGACTGCACTTTTAACTCCAGCCTCAGCAGTATTCCAGATCTCTTCAATATTTCTTTAATCTGCAGCACTAAAGAATTGCCAAAGGAGTTTGTTACAACATATCAATGATGCATCATATTTCAGGGCTTTATTGTCAGAGATTCAAATACAGAATGCGTTTTTACCAAGTGCTTCAGGTGAGACTAATGCAAAGGACCTGCCCTTTCAAGTACACACAGTGAAAGTCTGAACTCCATAAGGACAGAAGCCGATTTTTGTTAATCTTTTTATGCCCAGTGCCTACATAGCACGTATTGTATAGAAAATGTGTAACGTTGAATGCATGCAAACTGTATTTCTAAAAATACACACCACCTTCATTTGTTGTTTGTTTCTAGCAAAAGCACTGACAAATTTATTCTTTACTGGAATATTTTGAATTGTTATCTTCGAATTGTTATGTTTCTGCATTTCTTTATAGATCAAGCTTCTCAATACAAAGCCCAGATCAAGCTTTTCAACACAAAAAGCCATCAGCCTCAACAAAATCCTAGGAAGCAGAATTCAAGCAGTGAAGGATAATGTTTTGTTTAAGTTGTCAGTGTTCACCCTTCAAAAATGTAAAATATAATTCCAAATCAAAATCCAAGTTGCTTTTCTTTTTGGTATTTTGCGATTTATTGTAGCATTACCTTTATTTGTGAGGAAAATATATTGAAGGTTTTTTTCTCATTAAATATGTAACTATGAAATATTTAGGTCTACAAAATGAATTTCTCTATATTTTATGAACAAAATATCCTAGAAAAGAGAGACTTTTTAAATAAATGAAGATTAGTGAGGATAATTATTTCATATAGAAAAATTACATTTATTGGCTTCTAAGACCTAATCTACTCAATAAAATAAGTTATGATACCTTAATAACTGAGGAAAATAGACATAAGTAAAAAAAAACACGAGGAGAGAAGTCTACATGTAAGTATTCTGAGGTCAGGACTTTTTCAACTTTATCACAAAATTCACAGGGTGGATAAATAGTATTTCCACATTTTATAAAGGTTTCGAGGAAGCCTCAGTATAATCAGCCCCTAACATATTATCTTCTAGATAGCCAAGTTCTGTAGCTCACAACACATGGCCCCTGCCTTCCAACTGTAATTAACATAATCTGGTTATCTTATTCTGTAAAAATTACAAAAGTCCATTTCAGTGGGGTAATTGCAGGTGAGTGATATCCAAGACTGAGAAAATGTAGATTATTAGATTTAGCAAAATGTTATAGCATGATTCATATTTGTTGATTGTGAAAATGCTTTTGGGAGATTGAATTAGCAGAAAGAAGACCTTTTAAAGGCTCAGAGAAAATAATCTCAGGAGTGTAACATTGGAATGAATTTGCAGATCTAAATGAGCATGTCTAAAAATTAATATAACAAAAGAAGAGTGGTACATAAAAGTAGGAAGTCAGCAAATAAGCCAGATTGATTTTGACATTTGACGAGCAACTATTATAGTGAAAGTAATCATGAAAATACAAGCTGACTGTGTTTTTAGTGATTAATTCTGGCTAGAGTATGACAAGTATCCAGATATTCAGACAAAAGCAAAAATGCTAATTTGCCTGAAACATATTTTTTCAGTGTAATTTGAATCATTGTTTTCCTATATTCCTAAACTTTCTCCAGATGGTTCATAATTTTGCTTTTAGAGTAATTGTTTTGTTTTTAAACTTCCACCTTATCTTTTCTCATAAAGCAACACTCATGACCAGAGCCCAGAACATAATACTAAAATCACATTTCTTAAAAGTATTCTACTTAAAGGACACATCTTCAATTCAATTGAAACTAAGTCTTACACAATGGAATGATTCTCAAATTATTTAAAGTGAATTACTGGTGGCAGCATTGGTGTTAAGGGAAAGACCATTGGAACAGGCATACATTACAACCAAAAGCCCTATTCCTCCTACCATAATTGGCCATCTATTTGGGGCAATGTAGCTTAGATAAAAGAAAACCTACTAAAGGTTTTGGCCGTAACTACATTTGTACAAGAAGATTCTGGTAAAATGTCAGGACTTCACCATCCAGCCCATTGGTTACTGATAAAGTTTTGATATGTGTCCCCTCCAGCTCTCATGCTGAAATGTGATTCCTAATGTTAGAGGTAGGACCTGGCAGGAGGTTATTGGATCATGGGGGTGGATCCCTCAGGAATGGCTTTGAACCATTCCCTTGGTGATAAGACAGTTCTTGCCAGTTAGTTTACATGAAATCTAATTGTTCAAAAGTCTGGGACCTCCCCTCAACCCCTTTCTCTCGCTCTTGCTCTTACTATGTGACTCACTTGTTCCCTTTCACCTTCTGCCATGGTTGTAAGCTTCCTGAAGCCCTTACCAGAAGGCAAGCAGATGTTGGTGCCTTGCTTGTACAGCCTGCAGAACCATGAGCCAATTAAACCTCTTTCCTTCTTAAATTACCCAGTCTCAGGTATTTCTTTATAGTAACACAAAGACAGCCTAACACCGTCACCTACTCTGCAGTTTTTCCCAGCAGCTTGTCTGATGCCAAAGCCACCCCTTTCATAGATGGAAGCAAAGATGCCATTCTGGACAGTGAACAAAGTCACTGGGATAGGGTGTTAATTTTGTTCTTTCACAGCACATTGCAGCTTTCTTTGTGCAAAAACAATATGGAAAAGGAATGGGAAGTAAAACATGCTGTACTGAAAAGACATAACACAATGTGTCAGTGGACAAGAACCATTTTAGAATAAAACTAATTTTATATATTTCTCAAAAGTATATTTGTTCATCTAATAAAGTGATGGATATTAAAGGTAAATAATGGGGACGGGGACAAAAATTCTTCAGTCTCAGTAGACAATATTAGAAAGTTTTCTTTCTCATAGAACTATAAAAAGGTGATTTGTGGTGTGATTTTCTCAACTTCGTCCCTACGCATATTATCTCTGTAAGATGAATCTTTTCTAAGACATGGATTGCCCTTTTATGCTGACTGCATGCGTGCGTATGCATAAAATGCCACATTTCCAATTAGGATGTGTATACTCAGGAAGGATGACATATCAGGGCTGTCAGCCTAAAAGCCCTACAGCTCAGGAGAATTTTCCATATCACTCTGTGGACCTGCGAAGATTATGGGACTTATCTATTTGTTTTCTTTCTCTTCTCTTTTCTTACCTTTCATTCCAAAGTCAACCTCTCTCTCAAACTGTAGATATTGTTATTTTGGATAGCTCTAGAAATAAAGTGAATTTGGTGATCTCTTTTACCAAAATTTAAATAATGTTTTCTCTTATCCCAGTAAGATGCACTCCCTGTTTCCCTGTTTTTCCCAACATCAGTTAGTTTCCAACAATTTAGCTTTTCATCTTCATATAGAAAAATGTGCTAACATATTATTGAAAAAGATTGCTTTGTGTGGAAGAAACTACAAGGAGAAATTTGCATTTGAAGTTTAGTGCTTGATAATGTCTTCTTTGGACATCTTAAATATTTTGCACGTGGAAATGTTGCAAAACATGTTAGTGGTCCACCCATTTACTTAAATGACATCTAATAGGATAATGATGTAAGATCTTCAGAAAGACATTTCAAGCCCTTGAGATAGAAATGCAGAGTTCAGAAATATACAGTCTTTTTCTGATAGTTTTAAAATTCTTATATTGACAAACAGGGAAAAAGAAATAGGATGGGTGTGGAAATATTGGTATCAAGTTAGACTGTCAGGTAGAAATATAACTGATTTGAGTGTACTTTCAAACAGCTATATCAGTATTCAAATGCATAATTTAGATTTTCACTAGGTTCGACTTAACTGTGCCTTAAATTATAAGGGATGAGGCCAGGTGTGTGAAGTTTGTAAGCTATGTGGCCAAGGTCGAGAATTTGTGTGCTGTTTTCTGAAAGCCTTGGTGATTCAAGCATCATAGATATGGATGCCTCCAAGTTTCTCGGAAAGTATCATTCACATTTTTATTACTCTGAGAGAGTTAGATAAGATCACAGAACTTGAGGAGACACAGTAGACAATTCGGTCTGTTTTTTCTGCTAGTCTCATAGTAATTACCATATTTTTTCCAGATTGAGCAATTAATAATGCATTCTAATGCTTTCCATTTGGTTCTCTACAACATTGGTGTTAATGTCCTCATCTTGCCATTAAAGTTTCTTTTCTCTAGTTTTCTAATCAGACCAAGATGGTCTTTTTAAAAGGAAAGAGGCAGTAACTAGCTAATTGACAAAGCACATTTGCTCTCCTTCAAAGCATGTTGCAAAGAACAAATCAGCCTGTAGCACTTAGTCCTTCTGATGATTTTGAGGGAGAAGGGATTTTATTATTCACAGTGGAAAAAATTAGACTATGAACAGGAAGGGCATTTCTTTTCCTAGCCTTATTTACTCAGTGTGAATGTGAGCTTACATTTAAGAATGCCTATTTTGTTTATCTGTTAAATTCTGACAACACCATTTTAATGCTATAATTGTTAGCTATTAAAGGCTTTAATTTTATTAAAAGATTAATGAAATAGATTTGTTAACTCATAGTAGGTTTTTTTTCTTTGTATAACAGATTCTTGCTTTGAGAGATATTTATGCTCTCTTGCTAAATTAATGGAAACACAGAAAAGATTAAATGACTTTTTGAGGATCACATCAAAATTTAGTGGCTCAGCTCAAATCAGAAATCTAGATTACAGCCCTTTAAGCTTCAGGCCATGTAGTCTCTTATGTTCATAAAATAATAGTTCGCATAGTAAAGGAGAGACAGTGCAATTTATCTTTGCTGTTAGTCAATGCCATCAATTCACTCTATTCATTCCTCTTTGTTTTTTTTTTTTTTTTGATTACTACAGAAAGATGTGTAACTACAGGTAAGACTTCAGTTGGCCTTAATAAAAATATTTAATGCAGTATTAGATTCTAATATAAAATTTAGTTCTTGAATATAAATTAGGAAAATGTATATTCAAGAGATAGAAGATTTTTAAATTCTCATTACAAAAGAAAAGAATAAATTACTTTGATAAATGATCAGGGAAAATTTCAACACTTAGAAATGACATCTATGTATGTTACTCTAATCCATTTTGAAAGAACAATCAGCATTATTCAAGTTTTATAAAATACATGAATGAGAACTGGTTATTGCCCTCAATGAACTTACAGTCATTTAGGGAGGATAGAACAAGTCCCTGCAAACAAAAACTAATAGTGCAAGACTAGGCATGATTAAGCACTAAATTCTGTTTTATGGGCTGACTTTGCTTTCGATGAGAAATCAGAAGAGATGGAAGAATAACTGCTGCTGAGAAGCACATCAAAAAGCTTATCCATCATGATCAAGTGGGCTTCATCCCTGGGATGCAAGGCTGGTTCAATATACACAAATCAATGAATGTAATCCAGCATATAAACAGAACCAAAGACAAAAACCACATGATTATCTCAATAGATGCAAAAAAGGCCTTTGGCAAAATCCAACAACACTTCATGCTAAAAACTCTCAATAAATTAGGTATTGATGGGACGTATCTCAAAATAATAAGAGCTATCTAAGACAGACCCACAGCCAATATCATACTGAATGGGCAAAAACTGGAAGCATTCCCTTTGAAAACTGGCACAAGACAGGGATGCCCTCTCTCACCACTCCTATTCAACATAGTGTTGGAAGTTCTGGCCAGGGCAATTAGGCAGGAGAAGGAAATAAAGGGTATTCAATTAGGAAAACAGGAAGTCAAATTGTCCCTGTTTGCAGATGACATGATTGTATATCTAGAAAACCCCATTGTCTCAGCCCAAAATCTCCTTAAGCTGATAAGCAACTTCAGCAAAGTCTCAGGATACAAAATCAATGTGCAAAAATCACAAGCATTCTTATACACTAATAACAGACAAACAGAGAGCCAAATCATGAGTGAACTCCCATTCACAATTGCTTCAAAGAGAATAAAATACCTAGGAATCCAACTTACAAGGGATGTGAAGGACCTCTTCAAGGAGAACTACAAACCACTGCTCAATGAAATAAAAGAGGATACAAACAAATGGAAGAACATTCCATGCTCATAGGTAGGAAGAATAAATATCATGAAAATGGCCATACTGCCCAAGGTAATTTATAGATTCAATGCCATCCCCATCAAGCTACCAATGACTTTCTTCACAGAATTGGAAAAAACTAATTTAAAGTTCATATGGAACCAAAAAAGAGCCCACATCACCAAGTCAATCCTAAGCCAAAAGAACAAAGCTGGAGGCATCACGCTACCTGACTTCAAACTATACTACAAGGCTACAGTAACCAAAACAGCATGGTACTGGTACCAAAACAGAGATATAGATCAATGGAACAGAACAGAGCCTTCAGAAATAACGCCACATATCTACAACTATCTGATCTTTGACAAACCTGAGAAAAACAAGCAATGGGGAAAGGATTCCCTATTTAATAAATGGTGCTGGGAAAACTGGCTAGCCATATGTAGAAAGCTGAAACTGGGTCCTTTTCTTACACCTTATACAAAAATCAATTCAAGATGGATTAAAGACTTAAACGTTAGACCTAAAACCATAAAAACCCTAGAAGAAAACCTAGGCATTACCATTCAGGACATAGGCATGGGCAAGGACTTCATGTCTAAAACACCAAAAGCAATGGCAACAAAAGCCAAAATTGACAAATGGGATCTAATTAAACTAAAGAGCTTCTGCACAACAAAAGACACTACCATCAGAGTGAACAAACAACCTACCAAATGGGAGAAAATTTTCGCAACCTACTGGTCTGACAACGGGCTAATATCCAGAATCTGCAATGAACTCAAACAAATTTACAAAAAAAAAACAAACAACCCCATCAAAAAGTGGGCAAAGGACATAAACAGACACTTCTCAAAAGAAGACATTTAAGCAGCCAAAAAACACATGAAAAAATGCTCACCATCACTGGCCATCAGAGAAATGCAAATCAAAACCACAATGAGATACCATCTCACACCAGTCAGAATGGCAATCATTAAAAAGTCAGGAAACAACAGGTGCTGGAGAGGATGTGGAGAAATAGGAACACTTTCACACTGTTGGTGGGACTGTAAACTAGTTTAACCATTGTGGAAGTCAGTGTGGCGATTCCTCAGAGATCTAGAACTAGAAATACCGTTTGACCCAGCCATCCCATTACTGGGTATATACCCAAAGGACTATAAATCATGCTGCTATCAAGATGCATGCACACGTATATTTATTGCGGCACTATTCACAATAGCAAAGACTTGGAACCAACCCAAATGTCCAACAATGATAGACTGGATTAAGAAAATGTGGCACATATACACCATGGAATACTATGCAGCCATAAAAAATGATGAGTTCATGTCCTTTGTAGGGACATGGATGAAATTGGAAATCATCATTCTCAGTAAACTATCACAAGGACAAAAAACCAAACACCACATGTTCTCACTCATAGGTGGGAATTGAACAATGAGAACACATGGTCACAGGAAGGGGAACATCACACTCTGGGGACTGTTGTGGGGTGGGGTGAGGGGGGAGGGATAGCATTAGGAGCTATACCTAGTGCTAAATGACGAGTTAATGGGTGCAGCACACCAGCATGGCACATGTGTACATATGTAACTAACCTGCACAATGTGCACATGTACCCTAAAACTTAAAGTATAATAATAATAAAAAAATAAATAAATAAAAGAATAACTGCTGCTGAGAATAACTGGGAGTGTTTCTTCAATAAGTTCAAAGTTAAACTAGATCTCAGTGGTTGGGAACCAATTTGAGAAAAGGAGGAGAGACGTTATAGGTGGGGTATGCAAGACTAAGCATAGGCTGTTTCTGAGGTAGTACCAGATAGCTACGAGCTAGTGAGCAAAATGAAGTCTACATGCTCATTTGGTTATCAATTCAGCAAATATTTACAGAGATCCTACTACGCTAGATACTGACAGCACAGAAAGAAAGAAAGAAAAGAAAGAAAGAAGGAAAGAAAAGGAAAGAAAGAAAGAGAAAGAAAGAAAGAAAGACAAAATTCCTATTTTATGTATGGCCCCAGCGGGAAGCACATGGCATACCTAAACAGAGTAAGAGAGGAGAGCATAATAAAAAGGTTTATTTACAAAGATGCTAGTGGGTTTTAGGGAAACCAGCAAAGGATAGTATAATGCTGTATGGCTAGCAATAGTGGAAAGCAGTTAATATTTCTAGATTTGAAGGGACAGTGGGCGGGAGAAGTTACTGAAACTCACAGGGAGTAGATGCAGGAAAAGGGCTGCCTCACAAGAGACGTAGCCTTCAGCAGAGTCTCACAGTCAACTTGCAGTAACGAGCCGGAAGGAAATCTGGTGAATAAATAGGGCCTTGCCCCAATCTCTTAATTTCCTGTTAATGTTTCCCACTAGCTAACTCCAACTGGAAGGCAACAGGGCCATTTTGATACAGTCACTGCAGGTCAATGCTGGGGCATAGCATATAGTGAAGAGCAGCACAGTGTGTGTATCAGGGATCCAGCAGAGAAGCACGAGGATGGAGAGACACACACACAGAGATTTATATAAATATATATAATTGATATTCATGTGTAATTTGAGGGTATTAATTTATATAAGTATAAATTAATATAAATATAATTTATTTATAATAAGCTGACAGGCTGGAAACTCTAGAGGAGAATCTGATGCTGAAGTCCACATGTAGAATTTCTTCCTCCTCAGGGAAACCTCAGTTTTGCTCTTAAGAACTTGCAATGGATTAGATGAGGCCTGCATAGATTATCAAGAATAGTCTCTGTTACTTAAAATGAATTAAATATAGACGTTAACAAGATCTTTAAAAAATCTTCATAGTAATACATAGACTCATGTTTAATTAAAAAACTGCTTGCTATAGCCAAGCCAAGTTGACTCATAGAAGTAGTCATTGCTATAGGACCAACAGGACCATACACCCACTGCTCAGGAACAGACCAACACCCTCAGACAGCAGGGATGCATCAGAGATAGAGTTTAACGATCACAGGAGTCAACCAAGGAGATGGGAGGAGACCCTGAAATCCATCTCCCAGAGGGGCTGGGGTAATCATAGAGGACGAAAGGCTGGAAAATTGAGGTCGCTGGTTGGGGAAAGAGGGATGAAATCATCAGGATGTGGAAACTTCATTCTTTAGTGAGTCAGATTCTCATGGCATCCTTCAGACCAGCTGACGTCAGTAGTTTCACTGGTGCATAGGCCTTGAAAGAATATCTCAAATGGAAAACTTCATAATTTATAACGTTCAAGTTGTTATCTGCAAAACAGTTATGGAGAACTCTAATCTTCTAACAGGGCTACATGATTCCGAGGCAATAGAATCAAACAGCTATGAAGACCAAACAGCTCAGAGGACGCAGGTCAGAGAGCCAGCTGCCTAAAGATCAATGCTGAGTGGGCTGCAAGCTTGGTTTATTTTCTTTTCTCTCCCTCCCTTCCTCCTGATCAATTTTATAAAGTTTATAAGGATGGTTTCACCATAACAGTCTCTATTCTTACGGAGCTTATATTTTTTATAAGAGAATACAGAAAATTTTAAAAATTATATATACCCTTCAATTGATGATAACTGCTCAGGAGGATAAAGCAGAATATATTGATCAGGAGGGAGGAGAGATGCTGTTTTAGACAGGATGGTCATGGACATATGTAATCCGCTGATATGTGTGCTGAGACCTGAATAAAGCTAGAAAGTAAGTTGCACAGATCTCAGGAAATTGTTCCAGGAAGATGGCTCCAGCAAAGGCCTGGGCTTGCTCTGTTCAAGGATGAGCAAGGAGGCCGGTTGCTGGAGCTGAAGCAGCATGCAAAGAGTAAGAAAATGAGATCCGATGATAACATGAAGTCAGATTAGGACCTTTCAAGTGAGTTAAGGATCTTGGATTATATTTTGAGGGAAATAGAAAGCAGTTAAACCATTTCAAGCTGAAAAGTAATTTGACCTTTTTTTTTTTTAATGAACTTCTTTGATCTTTGGGTAGAGAAAAGACCATGGGCATCAGGAGTTGAAGCAGGAAACATGTGGAGTGCTTTAGTCTCAGTCCAGGACTGGATGAGCATTGTGGTGATAAAGACCATAATATACTCTGAAAGTAAAGTCAACATGATTGCTTCCTAGATATAACACATACAAGGAAGAGAGAAGTCAAAGTTGGCTTGATATTTGGCCTTAGCAACTGAATTAGTAAAATTACTATTTGCTGAGATGCAAAAGACTAGAAAGGGGCAGGTTTGGGGTTGGGAGAATGAGGATTCAGGAGTTCTAATTGGAAATGATTAGTGTCTATTGGACATCCAGTTGGAAATGTTGAATAGGCTATTTGTGTCTGGAGTTCAGGAGAGAGGTCAGGGCTATAGATGTAAGTTTAATAGTTACCGACATAAATATATTGGGAGGAAAAAGAAAGAAAAACCAATAGGTTTAAAGCGGTAATTTATGATAGATTAGCGGCCCTTAACAGTGAGGCGGAATAGCATAGACTTCAGGGTTTCTTACATTAGCAGTTTACGCATTTGCCTCACTTATTACACTGTGAGCTCCTTAAGAGAAGAAATGGTGCCTTATTCATTTTGGATATTTAGCACACAGCTAAATAGCTAGTACATCATGGCCTGTTGGTAACTATTTATTGAATGAATGAATGAAGAATGAATGAATGAATGAATGAGTTAACTAATTGAAAGAAATTATAATGTTAAGAACTAGAGCAGAAGCTAGAAAGCAGCTACACTCATATCACAGAAAGTTTTTTAAATGTATGGAAATCCTTGACAAGTAGAAAAATAATATATAGGTGACTTGTTGCTAAACATTATATGAGATGTAAAAATAAAAGGATACTATTGTCCTCAAGGGACAAACAACAGGCATTGAATAAAAAAGAAAATGAATGAATAAAAAAACATAATTAATGGTATCACAATTTAAAGGTGCATATGACTACTTCCAGCTAAAGTAATCATGGGCCACTCTATAAAAGAAGTAAGATTGGAATGGGAACTTCAAGAATAATTAATCTTTTTAACATATAATTGAGGAACCACATTTTAGACAATCAAAATATGAAGGTGTAGTAAGTATTCTAACATGGCTAGTATACAGGGAATAAATCAGGAAGTATAATAGTAGGAGATAAGACTGGCCTTGAATACCTAGGTAAACATATGAATGATATTTAATGGGTAATATTAATAAGTATTAATATTATTTAGAAGACTCTTTTGTAAGTAATAGAAAATCCAACTAAATCTTAAACGCTGAGGAATGTATTAGTACCTGGAGGTCCAGCTATCAGATGGACTATGGGGATGACAACTCTGCGTGAGGCTCCATCCTGGCTCCTTGCTATCTCCTAGCTCTATCCTCATACTGGATGTTAAAGAGCTGCTGCTGTTGAAGATTTCACATCCGCAGAGTCCAGCATGCAGGGCAAAGGAAATGGTCTCCCTGTATGCCACTCTTTTTTTTTTTTTCTCGAGACGGAGTCTTACTCTGTCACCCAAGCTGGAGTGCAGTGGCGTGATTTCAGCTCACTGCAACCTCTGCCTCCTGGGTTCAAGCAATTCTCCTGCCTCAGCCTACCGAGTTGCTGGGACTACAGGCGCACGCTGCCACGCCTGGCTAATTTTTTGTATTTTAGTAGAGACAGGGTTTCACCGTGTTGCCCAGGCTGGTCGCGAACTCCTGACCTCAGGCAGTCCGCCCGCCTTGGCCTCCCAAAGTGTGTATGCCACTCCTAAGTCTCAGGAAGCAGTTCCAAGTGCCTCCAGCGAACTCCCACTCACATCTCCCTTGCTCAAATTAATTCACCTGAGACTTTTCTTTCCACAACCAACTCTTCCTATCAGATCAATGTCCTTATTGGCTCAGATCTAGATTCCTGAAGCAATCACTGGAAAGGAGGATGAGACAACTGTGATTGAGTTAGACACTTCAGGGCTGTCCCAGGAGTGGGAGGTGGCACTCAATCACTCAGATGTCATACTTGGGGCAGGGGTACTGTGGCTGGAGGGTGAGGGAGTGAGACAGATATTGAGTAGGCAGCTTCAGGGTCCACCCACTATAGGAACTACAGAGGAGTCACATGAACAGGTAATTCCATAGAATGCTAATTTGATGGCAATACAATGATTTCATGATTTGCAAATAAATAACATAAAAACTCAACTCATAAAATATCTTTAGAATAACACTTTGGGTAAATGTCTTTATTATCTAAATGTTGTCTATAAATCAATAATTTAAAAAACATCAAGAGAAAAATGGCCTAGAAACTTAAAAAATAAATACATATTATAAATACAAATGTTCTATTTACATGAAAAATGTTCTATCTTACTAGTATTCTAAAACTGTGAGCTAAAACATTAAAAAGTATAGATTTTTCTCTTTAAATTAGATTTTTAAAAAATACCTCTTACTATTGAAGAGTTGTGGTAGTTAGAGGAGAAAGTATTATAACACTCCTGAAAAGAAATTTAGCATCATGCTTTAGCAGCCTTATAATAGTCAATGATCCTATAATTATACCTCCAGGAATGTATCTTAAGAAAATAATCAGCAATACCATGAAAGATCTATATATAAAGACTTTCATAGCAGTGTTTGAAATGGTTTGGCTTTGTCCTCACCCAAAATCTCATCTTGAATTTTAGTCCCCATAATTCCCATAATCCCCACATGTCAAGTGAGAGGCCAGGTGGAGGTAATTTAATCATAGGGGTGGTGTCCCCCATGCTGTTCTCATGATAGTGAGTGAGTTCTCACAAGATCCGATGGTTTTATAAGTGTTTGGTAGTTCCTTCTGCATTCTTTCTCCTTCCTGATGCCTTGTGAAGAAGGTGCCTTGCTTCCCCTTTGCCTTCTGCCATGATTGTAAGCTTCCTGAGGCCTCCCCAGCCATGCTGAACTGTGAGTCAATTAAACCTGTTTCCTTTATAAATTACCCCTCTCAAGCAGTTCTTTATAGCAGTATGAAAATGGACTAATACAGTTTTCTATATAGCAGATAAAATCTGAAAAGACAATTAACAGCCAACAACAGGGAAATCCCCAAATAAGGATTGGTTCATACAATGGAAAACTATGCAGACTGAAAAATAATTTTGATAATAGAGAAAAATTTTCAATATAATTTTTTTAAACATAGAAACTCATATACTTTTTAAAAAAATGTTAATGAACAATTGTTTTGAAGGGAAGAGGGGTTTTTAAAAATAATGGCCCTTTTAAAAGTTCTGCTTATGGAGATACAGCTAACCTCCCTAGTTAGCTGTATTCCTAAGTATTTTAATTATTTGTGTAGTTATTCTGAATGGGATTGGATTCTTGATTTGGCTGTCAGCTTGGATGTTGTTACTGTATAAAATGTTACTGATTTTTATACATTGATTTTGTATCCTGAAACTTTGTTGAAGTTGTCTAACAGATCCAGGAGCTTTTGGGCATAGACTGTGGTATAAAATCTTATTGTTTTTGAAGAGAGATAGTTTGACTTTGTCTCTTCTATTTGGATGGTTTTTATTTCTTTCTCTTGCCTGATTGCTCTGGCTAGGACTTCCTGTACTATGCTGAATAGGAATGATGAGAGAGGGCATCTTTGTCTTGTTCCAAGAATTACAAAACACTGCTCAAGGAAATCAGAGAAAACATGAGCAAATAGAAAATCATTCCAAGCTCATGAATATGAATAATCAATATCATTAAAATGACCATACTGCTCAAAGCAACTTATAGATGCAAGCTATTCCTATCAAATTACCAATGACTACCCTGGAAGATAACCTAGGAAATACTATTCTATGCATAGGTCCTGGTGAAGAGTTCATGACAGAGATGCCAAAAGCAATTGCAACAAAAACAAAAATTGACAAATGGGATCTAATTAAACTAAACAGCTTTTGCACAGCAAAAGAAACTATCATCAGAGCAAACAGGCAGCCTACAGAATGAGAGAAAATCCTTCCAAACTATGTATCTGACAAAGGTCTAATATATAGAATCTATAAGGAACTTAAATTTGCAAGCAAAAAAAAAAAAAAAACCTTACTAAAAAGTGAGCAAAAGACTTAGACGATTTTCAGAAGAAGAGATACACACAGCCAACAAGCATATGAAAAAAATGCTCATCATCACTAATAATTAGAGAAATGCAAATCAAAACCACATTGAGATACCATCTTACACCAGTCAGAATGGCTATTACTGAACAGTAAAAAAAAATAACATGCTGGCAGGAGAAAAGGGAACATATGTTGGTGGTGGGAATGTAAATTACCTCAACCACTGTGGAAAGCAGTTTGAAGATCTCTAAAAGAACTTAAAACAGAACTACCATTCAATCCAGTAATCCCATTATTGGGTATATATCTGAGAAATAAAAAACATTCTACCATAAAGACACATGCACACGTATGTTTATCACAGCACTACTTGCAATAGCAAAGACATGGAATCAACCTAAATTTCCAGCAACAGTAGACTGGATAAAGAACTATGGTACACATACACCATGGAATACTATGCAGCCACATAACAAGAATAAGATTGTGCCCTTTGCAGCAGCATGGATGGAGCTGGAGGTCATTATCCTAAGCGAACTAATGCAGGAAGAGAAAACCAAATGTTACATGTTCTCACTTATAAGTGGGAGCTAAACATTGAGTACATATGAACACAAGGGAAAAACAGGCACCAGGGTTTACTTTACAGTGGAAAGTAGGAGGAGGGACAGGATAAAAAAACTACCTATTGGGTACTATGCTTATTACCTGGGTGATGAAACAACCTATACACCAAACCCTCATGACCTACAACTTACCTATATAACAAACCTGCGCATGTACCCCTGAACCTAAAATAAAGTTTTTTCTTAAAAAAAAGTTCTGCATCACTTTAACATACTTTGAATAAGTGCCTGCCTAAAAAAGACAGTCTTTCATTTTGCTAAGATGAAGGACTGCATTCTATTTGTGAGTGATCTTTGAATGTAATCACAATGCCAGCTTTTCTACAGTCTGTCCTAACTTTCTACATAACAGTGTCAAAAAGCAAAAATAAACAAGGTGCAATGATGCACACCTATAGTCTCAGCTACCTGAGAGGCTGAGGCAGGAGGATCACTTGAGCTCAGGAGCTCGAGACAATCCTAGGCAACATAGTGAGACCCATATCTGAAGAAAAAAAAAGTATTTAATTAGCTGGGTGTGGTGTCTCATGCCTGTAGTCCCAGCTACTCGGGAGGCTGAAGCAGGAGGATCAGGAAGATCACTTGAGGCCAGGAGCTCAAGGCTGCAGTGAGTTATGATGACACCCCTGCACACTAGCTTAGGGGACAGAGCAACAGGCCATATCTCTAAAATAAATGGATAAATAAAAAATATAAGGACATAAAAATCTCACTTGAATTATAATATATCAATATTATTAATTTGAAAATATGGAGTCTACCATGAGTCCATCATTGTTCTGTGTAAGGGAACACTGAAGTTGAAGTATCAACAAATTTATTAAAATTAGTTTTATCATTTTGATGTTGGGCCCATAGCCCTTGAATAATCAAAGTGACCATTTAAAATATTTCACAATGTTGATAATTGCTGAGGGTGGGTGATGGGTACATGGGGATTGATTCCATTATTCTATCTAATTTTGTGTATATTCTGAAATTTTCATGATAAAAATTGAAAAGTAAAATAATTTACATGAAATGGGTTAAAGCATGTTTAATTTACAATGATTAATTTTCTAAAACTTAAATTCTGAACTTTTCTCCATACTATATGTACACTTTTCCAGTTAACAGAGTTTGAAAATGCAAATCTTTTATTTAAACAAGGATGAACAGTAAAACAATATGTTTGCATAGGTATAAACTCTCTGTGCATTGTAAACATCTTTACTATATTGTAAATGTTACTTTATAAAATAACATGTATGAAATTTTGTATTGGAAGGGATCTTCTTATATAGAAAAGTTATATCATATTTATAGATTCATTTTTAATAACCTAGCATTTTATTTTAGGATCAATAATTCTGTCTTTATAAGCAAACTAATTCTACTGGGCACTTTTTTGTATGGCTTTATTGTTAAATGTATTTGCAATTGGACAAGCTGTTTCATTTTCCACATTTAATACACTTTAATCACCATAAAATAATAAAAGCATTTTAGATTTATAAGAACTTTAGAAATCATCTAACTATGAAATAATTATGGGCAAGTCCAATGACTTCATCATTATATCCCTAATTTTGAGCATTCAACAAAAAAGCATTGCACTGAATAGATTTAGTATATTTTCCCATCTGGCGTGGGACTTTTGCCCATAACATTCCTGACTGATGGATGTATTAGTCTCTATACAAATCCTTCCAGTAACAAGGTTCTCATTTTTCAGGTGTTTATTAAATATCCCTGTGTTAGTTTTCTAAGGTTGCTATTATCATCTACCCCAATCTGAATGGCTTAAAACAACAAAAATTTATTCTCTCACTGTTCTAGTGGCCAAAAGTCCAATATCAAGGTGTCAGTAGGGCCACACTCCGTCTGCATAGGAGAGAATATTTCCTTTGCTCTTCCTAGCTGTTGGTGGTTGGCTAGTCATTCTTCTGCATTCCTTGGCTCACAGCTGCAGCACTTCAATCTCTGCCTTCATCGTCACATGCCGTTCTTCTCTTTATGTCTGTGTCTTTATGTGATATTTACCCCTCCTGAATCTGTGTCAAAATTTCCTTCTACTTATAAAGACACCAGTCATATTGATTTAGGGCTCACCCTAATCACCAGCCTCATCTCAATTTGAGCCCAGCTGCAAAGACCTTATTTCCGATAAGAACACATTCCTAGATCTTGAGAGTAAGGACTTTGTGTATCTTTTGAGGGACATAATTCACGCCATAACACTAATATACAAAATAACGGGACACAGTTGTAGAAAGTGGAGGGTGTTCTTTGGACAATCCCTAAATTCTCTAGAATGAGGTTTTCTCATTTTTAAGGTAGTCGAATGAAATTGCATGATAATAAAAGATAGGAACACCTACTGTGTACTGATCATATGCTAGGCAAAAGTTCTGTCCACCATGCAGTAATAACTCTGAGCCTCCCAGAGACTCCACTAGCTAGCAAGTCCAGCCCCATTTTATGGTTATACATACTTGAGGCATAGAGAGGTAAAGTAGCTTTTCCAAGCTCACACAACTAGTAAATGAAGACGTCGGGAAACGTATTCAAGCAATCTATGTTTCAACCCCATCTTGGTTAGATCAGATAGTTCATTCTGAGTCTCAGATCCTTGCTTCAAACTTTCACTACTGCTCTTAGCTGTGCCTTAGCACTCACTGCTCCTTCCATGCGAAGTCCTTTAAATATTTGAAGATGGCTATTATGGTCTAACTAGTCTTTTCTTCCTCAAGACAAACATTGTAAGTTCTTTCAATCATTTTTTATGTTGAATCACTTTCAAATCTTTCAATTTGAATAATCCTTAGTTCATTATGCAGAATACTGGAATTATGATTGCCTACATTATAGTGCTTCTAACTGAAGTTTATATATATATGGACAAAACCTCATGAGTATCCAGAATTCACGAATTACATGATGTGAATTGAATAAATGCATTTTTATAGATTTCATATTAGTAGGGGTGGAGTTAATAAAGCTTCCTACACATTTTGATATTGCTATTCTACTTTGAATGCTAGGCAACTCTGAATATTTTGAAGGATTCGTAATAACTATTACTTCCCCATTTGTGATAAAAAGATCAAGTAAAATGGATGTGAAGGGCCTTAGGGATTGTTTCATGTAAAATTGCAATGCCCCTTTTTATATCACATCTCCGCTCCCAAGAGATTTCTGAAAGGATTTAGTCAAACATGAAACTTTTTGTTCTATTTGTAAGTAATGTATTTTTATTTCAGAATCAAATCTAATATGCTGCTTTCTATTTTTGGACCTTAAAAATAGCACAAAAAGCTCTTAGATCTTCATTGGGGTCCACATACATGTGTCTGCAATTGGATTAGATAAATTGGAACTTCATGAAAATGAGATAGAGTTAAAGTATTTCATGGTCTGGTTTCTTCATAAGAAATAATATAATTTTATCATGGTGCCCTGGTGCTAGACAAATTCTGAAGGCAACTGTAGGCTTTTATCAAAAATTAAACTTTGACGTAGAGCCAAGATTCTGGTTTTCAGCTAAGATGCTTTATATCTATGGCAGCTTTGCACTTCATGGACTAATTGCCATAATACATGGTTATTGATGCAGAGTCCTCCATGGTTCCTTTTGCTCTAACAGACTTGCATATTAAAAATGGAAGCTTTAACATATTTAATAGCACAAGTGACTAAGTTGTCAGAAATTTTCACACTTAAATGCTGACAGCCTCATCCCCTTGAAGTAAGGACATTCTTTTTTCCTATTCTTCATTCACTCTTCTGCCTGTTATCACTAATATTGCTCGGATTGTCAGATGCTGGCATCTGGCAAATCCAATTCTTACTGGCCCAGAGCATGTGCTAATTATATCCTACAGCTAATTAGAAAGCATCCTCTTTGCTAGAGAACAGTTTATTTAGCTCATCAATGAATAAGACTTGATTTGAATCTTGATTTAAAAATCAAAGGGAAATGGAAATGGGATGAGGTAGAGGAAAAGATACCCTTCATAATGCAGGAATCCTTGTTAATTAAATTTTAAAAATGAATATAGATTTTGCATAAGATCTGGAAGGAGGGGAATTTAGACTAAAACACTAATTTCAAGAAACTTACTTATGTTTAAAATATGTTATTTTAAAATCTCAAAATAACTGTAGTAGAGGCATCAATGACCTAATTTTAAAACAGGTCAGATTCCTTAGAAAGGGATTGGGAAGCTTGTGTTTTATTGATGACTATTTCGTGAACAACATACATGATTCAATACTTGTGCTTAGATTGGGTTCTTCTGAACAATCAAATTTCTGTAGTCAGTATTTAATTGTCCTGTAGTCAGTAATTTAATTACTTACAAAGGATTTACTAAAGAAAAGTTACAGTTCCTTTTATTACCTGAGCTTTACCATGACTTTGGAGATAACTTAGGTAGGTATTAACCATTCAGATATATATAATAACCTGGTTCATTCACTTTTTTTCCTCTTTATCTGCCCAGTCAAATCTGAGCACTACATGTAGCATAGAAAGACATTTTCATGCTAATTTTCAAAATTGCTGTCAATTTACCATGACTAATTAAAATGTGAAGCTCCATAACATTTTAAGCCAGTGGTTCTCCACCCTGGTTGCACTTTAGAATCATCTAGGGAAGCTTTTTAAAAATATTCAATATTGTCCCCCACTTGCCACCTCCCCACATACAAATTCATTCAGAATTTCTGGGCATGGGACCCAGGAAACATTTTATTTTTAAGTCTTCCGGGTGATTCAAATGTGTCTATAGATTGAGAATAATCATTCTGTGAGATAGTTGGTCACAAAAGATTGAGAAGCCATAATAAAGCTTTCTTGAATTTCTTAAGAAACAGATAAAAGCAGGAGGTCAATTAATGAAAATAATTAGTTATTTTAGCTCGGATAATCTCAGAGATATCTGTGTCCTACACAGCAGGGTTCTGTAAGGGGCACATGGATACCTCTGAGAAGCTGATGATGACTTCCTACTGCCAAAGCAGGCAAACACATGAAACTGGCATGGATGATGATATATTTCACAGAAAATCAGAATCTGTGACTCCCTGAAAGAAGGAATGTTCTCAGAGATAAAAGAACTGAAATCAAAAAATAAAGCCCCCAATTTTATGTACTGAGCCATGCAGGCAGAGATTATATTGATGAATAATTATTTTTAAGATAGAAAAACTTTCCCCAAGGACATTTACTTGTTTCATTTTAAGAAAATAAGGTGGCTGGGCGCAGTGGCTCACACCTGTAATCCCAGCACTCTAGGAGGCCGAGGCGGGCGGATCACGAGGTCAGAAGATCCAGACCATCCTGGCTAACACCGTGAAACCCCATCTCTACTAAAAATACAAAAAATTAGCCGGGCATGGTGGTGGGTGCCTGTAGTCCCAGCTACTTGGGAGGCTGAGGCAGGAGAATCCCTTGAACCCAGGAGGCAGAGGTTGCAGTGAGCCGAAATCGCTGCACTCCAGCCTGGGTGAAAGAGCGAGACTCCATCTCAAAAAAAAAAAAAAAAATACACAAGCTTCCTGAGAAGACCTAATTCTTTCCTGAATCTCACACTCTTCCCTCCTGATCGGCGTATCCTGCACCTAAAATAAAGAGGACTCATGCATTGCTTATTCCAGTCTAGCTTCCTGATTATTAAAAAAAAAATTACAAATTTTATCTATTCCCTTTCCTTTAAATTATATTGGACTGATGCTATTAAAGCAGACCTCCAAATTTTAAAGTCCTTTAGATTTCAACCTCAAATTACTAAGGGGTAGAGTAGCTATCCACTTCAAGGTCTATTTTATAGTCTAAACTTTATTTCATTCTTTCTCTCTACAATCACCACCCAATGCTGTCTGATTTTCTTTGAACCATTCTTAGATGATCTCATTCAAATCATGTTCTTTAAATGTTCTCAATTCACCTTTTTCTATTACAACCCTAGAAGTGTAAGGTGTTAAAATCAACTCTGAAGCTATTCTAGCTACGTTCACTCAGCCTAATAATTCCTAGATTATGCTATGCTTTTTTAAAGCACACAATTAGCAACTCATTGGGTAGTTTGAATCAAAGAATTTCTTAGAAGTTATCACATGTAAATCCATTGGCCTGCATAAGTAATCCAAACTATATCAATATTTTTTTAAGTTAAGAATATTTTGAGATTCCTATTCATGCTGTTTTTTGTCTCTTTTCAGTCAAGTCATTATCCCTAAAATATTGTTATTAACAGACAAGTAGCAGACTAGATTCATATCAGTGGCACACTAAACATCACGGTGCATGCTTCCAACACAGGAAGGAATGAAAAACTGATAAAAAGGACTAGAAAGTTAACTGATAAAAAGACTATAGTATAAAAGTTGATATGTATATACAAATGTATCTCCACCGAAATGTATTGTGGAAGATCAGTAAAAAAAAGTTTTCCACCAAACAGTAGGACACCTAAGGAACGCTGAAGAAGTGGTACACACTACATGGCCCTTCTGATTTCTACTTTTGTGTGCTAGTAGGTAGTGTGTTGGATTGGAGATTAAAATATCTATGGCACCGAATAACAGGAAAAATGTCTTTTAAATCAAAGTTAACTCTTGATTCTCTGGTAATTAGATTTAATTTTATTATAGTCATTAATATTGACTAGTCCCTGTAGGTGAGTTCTCCTTACAGGACACTTATGCATGCTTATATGGGACTTACTTTAAAGTAGGCCACTTACGATGTAACTTATGTATATTTATATACTTATAAATATTGTAATTTACCCTATTCTCCCTAAAGGCTACCCATTTCAACTTCTTACATGGATACATTTCTTTGTTTATAGTTTATAGCTTATCCCATATAGTTTCATATATAGATGATGATTGGAAAAAGCAATTGGAAAATAATATAAAGCTTAGCTCATCCCTAAGAAGCAGAAAAATCATTATATAATATGTAAAATTTTGCACACAGTAAATACCCGTTTAATATTTAAAGAAAGAGAGTAGAATTCAGAATCAGTCTTGCCAACATATATCCAAGCTACTACAAAAGAACATTTATGATTGCCATAAAATTTACCAAGAATTTCTGGAGAATATATTTTTATCCAAAATATCCTTTCATTTTCAAAATATTCTTTGGTGCTTTATAATTATCTAAACAATTATATTATATCAGAATATGAGACATCACGTTGTAGCTCTACAGTTTTTCACTTCTTCTCTAATTCTTATTTATAGAACTTATCAAATTTGAGTTTCATCACAAATCTAAGTTCAAATACTAAGAATTTTTACTGGAGAATAAGAGGCCTTAGCTCAAATACTAACTATACTAAGAAGTAAAATATTTTGTATTTCACAAATACTAAGATCAAATTGTGACCCTTCTATAGTCCTCTGTGCTGCACTATAGCTGTGAGTCATCACTTTTGGGAGGCTCTGTTCAGTAGGAGTTAAGAGCCCAGCCAACAGACTATAATTACATTATTCAATGATCTGCAGCCTGTGCCTCGAGCAACTTCTCACCACATTAGTAGTGGCAATGAAAGCTGGAAAACTATGTGTACAAATTAAAACAGAGAAAAATAAATCAGAAGTGAAAACCATTGTTTGTAAAGGGGCTTCAGATTAGAAAAATTACAGTTTCAGCATCTGAGATCTCACTCAAGTTCAAATGTCGGTCCGATCAAGAATCCATCCAAAAAAGTATTTGCTTAAACCATTTTGGGTTGAGTACATTTGCTGGAGAGTTAAACTGCTGTAACCTAGGCCATCAGCAGGAACATTTTAACTAATGGAAGCTAGTGTTTGCTAATTTCCAGCTTGAAACATCAAAATATAAATATGAAAAAGGATAATTTAGCAAGTAATCATCAATATTTGATTAATACAGAGAAATCTATCCCCAACCACTCACCAACTAGATTTCTGAATACAGTCAGAAAAGTACCATTACCTCCAAGTCATTGGTTTAAAAAAACAAGTAAATATGTGTGTGTGTGTGTGTGTGTGTGTGTGTGTGTGTGTGTGTGTGTGTTATTTTAGTCCATTCAGGCTGCTAGAACAAAATACCTTGGATTGGGTAATTTATAAACAACAGAAATTTATTAATTTATTTCTCAGTGTTCTCGAGGTTAGGAAGTCCAAGTTCAAGGTGTCAGCAGATTCAGTGTCTAGTGAGGGCCCACTCTCTACTTCTAAGATGGTGCTTCTTGCTCACGTGGTAAAAGCGGCAAAAAATCTCTCTTGGGCCTCTTTTTAAGAGCACAAATCCAATTAATGAGGGGTCCACCCTCATGACCTTGTGACGTCCCAAAGCCTTCACCTCTTAATACCAACTCATTGGGGATTAGATTTCAGCATCTGAATTCTGGAGAAACACAAACATTCAGAACACAGCACTGCCCAAAGACCTTATCTCCTAATTCCATCACCTTGGGGGTTAGAATATCAATACATAAATTTGGGGCAGCACAAACTTTTAGACTATTATATATATTTTTTCACAGTAATATATGTAATATATAGTAATATATACAAATATATAATATATTTGTAATTTATATATTCACAATATTAGTTAAAAGAAATATGTACCTACTTAAATCAGCCAGTAGCCTAGTGGAACAAATCATGTATATCAGGTTGGATTTCAAACACAGGCAAAAGAACAACCTTTGTTTGCATCACAAAAGAAACTATGCCTGGTTGGAACACTGCCATACCACTAAGTGATCTACTGATAACTTGTGGCTCAAAATGTTTCTATCATCATATTCCTTCCTTTGGTAGTACTACACACACTTTGATGTTGAGATAACATGTACACTTCACATGCAAGACACAATAGCAGAAATTGCTCCCTTGATTTAGCCAGTAGTTATTTATGAATGTTGAACGGTGCAAAATTGTGGTTATCTGCAGATCCTCATTAGTAACACCTCATACTATTTCTGCAAAGGCAAATGCACTTTGACATTCAATATTTTTTCTTCACAATTATTTGAATTTTCTCTGAACAGAAGTAGAAAATAGGTCATCGTACCCACGGTTTAAATAGCAAGACAGTTTATTTTAGATTGTGGTGAAAGCCAATAGCTTAGGTGTTCTAATAAATAAAATTGCTCCTCCTTTCACAATGTAAAATGCCAGAATGCTGTTACTTCTTTTCAGGCTATTGTGTAAAAGTTAGTTCTATGGGTAAAAATCCCTTAAGTGTTCCAGACCCTATTGGTGAAATTTAGTTGCTCTAACCGAAAAATAAAAACTATAAAACCTAAGAAGCAAGAATAGATAACACTTGGAAAATCGTAAGTGCAGAGACTGTTTGGAAGGAAACAAGTAGCAAAAAACTAAAACCCTCCTATTTTAATATTAGTTATAACTTAGGTTACACTTGAGACATTCTGGGCATTCATCAAGTAACTGTTTATTAAAACTATTTGAAGGACTCTAGACAAGACCACAAAGAAGGCAAAATCTCCAGAAGCAATTTTGTTCACCTACTTCTCCATCCCTTCACGAGTCTGGGGACTTGATCCATCCCTATCTGCCTGATGTCCCCAGAAGGGATCTTGTCGCTCTGTTATTCTGAACATGCCATTTTGTTAAATCCTTACTTGTCTCTTTTCTTCATGAAAGCATACCTGCCATAAATTTTGTTTCCTCAGAACATGTCAGATAGTGATATTCCAATTTCACCTTGAGTAACTTTCTTTTATGCACTCTATTTAAAAATCTATGGGATTAAAATAAGCATCTCCCTTATTCCAAGAAAGATAATGTATTTAGACTATTTATATTATTTCTTTATTCACATATTCTTTCTTCTTCTCTCTTTCCTTCTTTCTTTTGACATTCTTTTAAGGCCTTAGGAGCTGTTGTTAACCCCAATGACACTGTGTCTTGAAGGAACAGCCTCTTACATATCTTTGAACAGTACCTAATAATAGCACTTGGTAGTTACACAATAACTGTTAGTTGAACTTAACTAAATTACCTCCAATTTACTCCATAGTTGTGTATAATTAAAGGAGAACTCTTGGCCCTGATTATGACTAGTTAATGTAAAAAGTAAAAATTTTAAGTTTACTGGATGACTTTGGAGAGTCATTAGCCATCAACATATCAAAGAATAATTCCTTGCACTACTCCCTGAAGAGCAAACAGCTTAGTTACCCTCCAAGAGAAATACTTGGTGTCATATCAAAGCTTGTAATGCTCCTGCATCAGTTCACATGGCTTTCATTCTAAGGACTTATATTTCAAATGGTTATTTTTTTGTCCATTTGCTTTCTACATACAGAATGCATGTCAGTAGGTTTTTATTTCAATCACGCTGGGAGATTCCTTCTTACCTACCAGCTCATTCACCTGTTGCTGTAAGTTAACTTTGTATATACCACACAACTTAGATTCCAAGTTATACACTGACACCACACACCCACAAACACACACACACACACACACAGTGTTAGGGTTCTCTAGCAAAACAGAACAGGATGTGTGTGTGTGTGTGTGTACATACGTATAGATATATACATACATAAAGTCTCTCTGCTTCTGTCTCTGCATGCGTGTGTGTGTATATATATGCATGAATTTTAGGTGGTGAGTATAATTAATTTGTTTTCACTCATAAGATTGATGGTATTAGTCCCTTTACAAGTTAAGATTTAAATGGGTTAAGCATCTTACCCATTTTAGACCTTTATTAATTCAGCAGATATTTATTAAGCTCTTACTATGTGCCAGGCAGTGAACAAGACAGGTATATTTGTGCACATATATATATACACACACATACACACGCACACAAACACACATGCAGACAGAGACAGAAACAGAGAGATTTTAAGGAACTGGCTATGTGATCGTGGAGGCAAGTCCAAAATCTTCAGGATAAACCGGCAGGCTACATACCCAGAGAAGAGCTGCAATTGGAGGCCAAAAGCAGTCTGCTGGTAGAATTCCATCTTGCCTGGGAGGTTATTCCTTTTTATTAAGGCCTTCAGCTGATTGGATGAAGCCCATCCACATTATGGAGAATCAACTGATTTATGCAAATTCTGCTCATTTAAATATTAATCTCTTCTTTAAAATATCTTCATGCAAACATCAAGAATAATGTTTGATGTTTGATGGTCTAGCCATATTGACACATAACGTTAACCATCATACACTCCCAGCATTTGGGTTCTCCTATACGGCTTTAAAAGATGAAGAAACTTAAATTTGTTCATGTAACAACATAGTTAATCAACCTTACTGTGAGGCTGGTACAGTTCTGTTTGTTAGGCCAGGTGCCATGGCTCACACCTGTAATCCCAGCAATTTGGGAGGCAAAGGCAGATGGATCACCTGAGGTCAGGAGTTACAGACCGGTCTGGACCACGTGGCGAAACGCTGTCTCTACTAAAAATATAAAAATTAGCCGGGTGTGGTGGTGCACGCCTGTAATCCCAAATACTAGGGAGGCTGAGGCAGGACAATCACTTGAACCCAAAAGGTGGAGGTTGCGGTGAGCTGAGATCATGCCACTGCACTCCAGCCTGGGTGAGAGATCAAGACTCCATCTCAAAAACCAAACAATTAAACAATTCTCTTTTATTAATAAGGAGATTAGTAAATGGACAATATATGTCTTTGGTTCCATATCTTGACTTTCATGGAAATACCTTTAAACACAAACACATAAGGCTTGTAGAATTAAGTTGCTAGCATAAAGACTGTCATGCTTTATGATACATACTAGAAGAATTTTCACTTCTCATAACATTTGTTTCTTAACTAGCTCCCATAAAACTTCTTTATTATAGAGTTCATAAAGCATTTTTCACCTCCTAAATTCAATTCTTAAAGTAGCTATTAAGTGCCTACAATGTACCCATTTGTAGTGTTATTAATAGCAATTATGATACCAACTCTAACCAGCAAAAAGAGAGTGCAAGGCAATGAAAATGTCTAAATAACTTGTATACTATAATTTTCTTGGTGATGGTAGAATTCTCTTCTGTATATACATAACAAGAAAATATTAAGCTTTGTCCCTGTATTTAAATAGGAAAACATGTTTTCTCTGACAATAAAAAGTCCAGGTAAAGAAAGATAAGTAAGGTGATTCTCACTTCCTTCAGCCATTTTCCTAGAATGTACCTCTAGTTATATCAAGTAAATGCTAAAAAATCTTTAATAGAGCCTTGTGGTCCATGAACTATGCCAAATCCAGTCTGTGGCTTGTTTTTATACAACCTGGGAGCTAAAAATGGTTTTTGCATTTTTAAATAGCTGTAAGAAAAAAGCAAAGAGGAATATGCAGAGCCTAAAATATTTGCTGTCTGGCCTTTTACATAACAAGTTAACAAGTTTGCCAACCCCTGGTCTAGAAGATGACATACAAAATCCATAGCATGACATTGAAGGGCTTTCACACTCTGAAGACAAATTGATGGACAAACTACACTTCAAATGTTCCCTGTCCTGGCATGTCCTTATTTTCCTGTGTGGTCATCTAAATTCAGCTGTCTATCAAGGAACAGCTCAAGCTCGTCATCTCTACGAAGCTTTATCTGGCTATTCAGTTCCATTGTAATCTGTTTTGGAATTCCAATAGGCATGAATATTTGCTTCACTCACCAATGATCTTGTTTCTTTTTATGTACACATTTTTATCTAACCTTGTCTTCCCAAGAAGAGTGTAACATCCTTACATGGTTTCTTTTGGACAGTGTCATGCATATATTTAGTGTCAGTTTTGCAACTTTTAAGGACTTTCTGGGTCCTGCAAGTCTAATTTCTTATTAAGCAGTAATTGATCAACATAATTCATGAGGAATCACTATTGTCAAACATTGATAAGCCTACAAATACATTTTGTTCTCCATTTAATCCTCAAAAAATTTTAGGTGATGAGTATAATTAACTTGTTTTCACTCATAAGATTGATGGTTTTAGTCCCTTCACAGGTTAAGATTTAGATGAGTTAAGCATCTTATCCATTTTATACCTTTATTAATTCAACAGATATTTATTAAGCTCTTAATTTGTGCCAGGCAGTGAAAAAGATAGACATAGTCCCTGTCCTAACATAGTGACAAATTTTGGATTCAAACTCGACTGAGTTATTAACATCTACACCATACTATCAGGTGCATTTTTCTGGCATAAAGAGACAACACCTTAATCAAAATAGCTGCACTAGTTTTATAAGATTAAATGAAAATAAAGAGTATGCACTGTGTGAAAGAACACAATAGCTAGAGCAGAGAGTGAAAGATCATTTGAGAAAGAGAAAAAAAAGAACTCCCCCAGTTTTTACAATAAAAAAAAATGTGCATAGAGATTATGGAATTGTAGTAGGGAAACTATGAAGATTTGATTGCTGGTTAATTTTGAAATCATTCAGTCACTCAACAAGACAGTATTTTATGAGTTCTAGATTCTGTAAGAAAGATAAATTTAATAGACGTCCTTTAAGACACTGGATTTGGCAATGGTTTCTTGAATCTGACAGCAAAATCACAGACAACAAATTAGAACTTGATAAATTAGACTTCTAGTTTAAAACTTCTGGGCATCAAAGGAAACAATCAACAGAGCAAGAAGGCAACCTGTGGAATGGGGGAAAATATTTGCAAATCATACATCTGAAATGGAGTCAATATCTACAACATATAAAGAACTCCTGCAACTCAACAACAACAAAAAACAGATGACACAATTTAAAAAATGGGCAAGAGACTTGAACAGACATTTCTTCAAAGAAGATCTATGAATGACCAACAAACACATGTAAATAAGCTCAGCATCACTAATCATTAGTGAAATGCAAAACAAAACCACAATGAGTAAGGAGATACCATCTCACATTCATTAGGGTGGCTACTACAACAAATGATAATAACCATTGTCGACAAAGATATGGAGAAACTGAAACCCGTAAGCATTGTTGGTAGGGATGTAAGATGGTGCAGCTGCTATGGAAAACAGTGTGACATTTCTTCAAAAATGTAAAAGTAGAATTATCATACATCCCAACAATACCACTCCTGGCTATTTATCTAAAAGAATTGAAAGCAGGATTTCAAAGAGATATTTTGCACAGCCACGTTCATGAAAGCATTACTGACAATAGCCAAAATGTGGAAGCAGCGCAAGTGCCCAGTAACAGTTGAATGAACAAACAAAATGTGTTATATGTTATTCATCCTTAAAAAGGAAAAACATTCTGACACATGCGACAACATGGATGAATCCTGAGGACATTATGGTAAGTGTAATGAGCCAATCACAGAAAGAAAGACAAGTACTGTGTGATCAAACTTAAATGAAGTACCTAGAGTAGTTAAATTCATAGAAACAGAAAGTATAATATGATTACCTGTAGGGGCTAGTGCAAGAGCAAAGCCACTAACAAAGAGCTAAGAAAGAGTGGAGAGTTGTTTAATGGGTACAGAGTTTAATGGGTACTTTCACAAGATGAAGAGCTCTAGATATTGGTTGCACAACAACGTGAATGTACTTTGCACTACTGAGCTGCCGACTTAGAAATTATCAAGATGGTATTACAAAAGAGTATAATTGCAACATTTGTAACACATAGAAATGATAAATGTTTGAGGTGATGATAGATAACCCATTTACCCTGATGTGATTATTACACAGTGTATGCCTGTATCAAAATATTACAGACCCCAGAAATACATACACCTATTCTGTACCCATAGAAATTAAACATTGTAAAAATAAAAACATAAGATGGTAAATGTTATGTACATTTTGTCACAATTTAAAATTTTTGAATTAAATAAATAAACTTAATAGAGGTCCTCTATTCCTGCCCTTAAAGAATTTTCACCAAATTAACAATATTTAAGGTGATTTATGAGACTACAATATCACGATTTCTACCTAAACTCAAGATTTCTAAAATAGAGCAAAGACCCAAGCACTTGAAAGATGTTAGAAAATGTTGAAAGATTAATTAACTTATTAATTAATTAAATTATTAAGGTAATTTGCATTATCTAATGTAAAACAATTTGCATATTTACAAAATGTCTTTTTTATACCTTTTTCTGGCAAACAGTGACTTTACACTTGCACTAATATATAAACACCAAACATCTCAGGATTTATTAGCTCACCTCAACTTTCTATCTCTTGCTTTTTCCAATACAGAAACTAGGTAGAAACCCAAATTGTGTTGTTGTTTAAGAGATTAACTTGGTGCACGGGTGGAAACTGAAGAGTGGATGATGTTTGTCATTATACTCTCGTGTGACTTGAGCTGCTGCTGAGCTTCATAAGGTGTTTTAAATAATTTCACATCATACATTAATCCAAATTCATGCCCCAACATAATCAAATTATCAAATAGTTGAATGTCTGTAGGAAACAGGCTTATTAAGGGCTTATTAAGATTGAGTAAGGACTTGTTTTCTATTTCAAAGAAGCTTTTAGAAAAGTTGAAGAAATCATTATTTACGTGAAAAGTTAAATATCAACAAAGAATTAAACTATGAAGAAAATTATGAAAAAGAGGATTTAAGGAAGTAAATATAGTTAATTGCAGATAAGAGATAACCAGTAAAGGCTATGGTTTTCAAGGAAGCCTCTGAAATATATTTTTTTGATATGTAGGGAAAGATACACCAGAGCAGGGATTCTCAACTGAGGGCAATTTTGCGCTCCTCGGGATGCTTAGCAAGACCTGGAAATATTTTTGGTTGTCACAACTGGTATCTAGTGGGTGGAGTCCAGGGATGTGGCTGAACATCCTACAAGCACAGGACAGCTCCCTACAGAAAGGAATTATCTGTCCCACTATGTCAATCATGCTGAGATTGGGAAACACAGGGATGAAGCTAAGCTGCTTGATGAAAAGGATTTTACTAAAGTGCTGGAGAATGAAGGAGATAAGACATGACAGAGAGAGGCAGGGAATAGTAGATACAAAAGCACCAAGGAGAGCTAACTGGATCAATCCAACATGAGTTAAAGACTTTACACAGGTGTGGGCCTGTCTTTAAAAACAGACTGGAAAGAGCGTGAGCTTAGGAGCTTTGCTATGTTTGTGATATGTCTGTGATATTGTTTCTAATATTCAGTGGGGGAGAGGATAACATTAATCCCAATATCACAGAAGGTGTACAGACCCCTCTGATATAGTTCCTAATCTACAGGAAAAAGAGAATAATATTACACCCAATATCGCAGGGGGTGTAAACCCCCCTTATATATTGTTCCTAATATGCAGCATGGTAGAGGCTTATATTACTCCCAGTATTGCAGAAGGTGCACACACACCTGTGATATAGTTTCTAATATCCAGCGGGAAAGAGGCTGTTATTACTTTCAATGTCGCAGTGGGTTACACCCCCCCACCCCCCCGTGGTATTGCTCCTAATATCCAGGGGAGAAGAGGATGATATTTCTGACAATATCACAGGGGGTGTACACCTCTTCTGTGATATGGTTCCTGAAATCCAGGGTGTGAGCGGATGATATTACTCCCAATAACTTAGGAAATGTACACTCACCCTGTGATTTTGTCCCTAATAACCACATGGGGAGGGGTGATATTACTCCCAATATTGCAAGGGGTGTACATACCGCCTGTAACATTGTTTCTTGTATCCGGGAAGGGAAAAGATAGTATTACCACCAACATTGAAAGGATGTACACCCCCCATGTGATATTGTTCTTAATATCCAGGTTGAAAGAAGATAACATTACTCAAAATATAACAAGGGGGGTACACCCCCCTGTGATATGATTCATAGAATCTAGAAGAAGAGAGAATGATATTACTTCCAATAATACACGGGGTGTACAACCCCCTTTGATATTGTTCCTAACATCTAAAAGAAGAGATGATGACATTACTCCCAATACCGCCAAGGTATACACCCTCCTGTGATATTGTTCCTAATAAGTGGTGGGGGAGGGCATGATATTACTTCAAATATCGCAGTGGCTTTACACCCCTTCTGTGATATGGCTCCTAATTTTCAGGGGGTAGAGTACGAAGATACTCCCAATATAGTAGTGGGTGTACACCCACGCTGTGACATTTCTACAAATATTCAGGGAAACACAGCATGATATAACTCCAAATCTCGCAAAAAGTGTACACCATCTTGGGATATTGTTCCTAATATCCGGAGGTGGAGAGGATGATATTAGTTTCAATACTGCAGGCTGTGTACACACACCCTGTGAAATTGTATCTAATATCTAAGAGGGGAGAGAATGGTAGTAATCCCCATATAGCAAGAGGGTGAGGCACTCCCCGCCAAATGGGGAGTAATAGCACCCCACTCTCCCCGCCAGCCATTACGATCCACATGTCAAAGTGGTGAGGCACCCCCCTCCATATGGGGAGTAATAGCCACCCTCCCCCATCCCGAGCTATTACGATTCACGGTGGACTCACAGCCTGTTTACCATGTTGTGAGTAGTATCATCTCCCCTTCTGGAAATTACGAACTATTTCACACGCGGGTGTACACCCTCTCTAGTATTAGGAGTAATATTATCTTCTTTACCTCTGAATGTTAAAAACAATATCGCAAGAGAGTTTGTACTTTTTGAGATATTGGGTGTCATATCATTCTCTTCCATGTTGAAATTAGAAACAATATGCCTGGACGCGTGTACACCTTCTGTGATATTTAAAGTAATATCATCCTCTTCTCTTTTGGATCTTGGGAACAATATCACTGCGGGGTATACACTTTCTGCGATATTGGTAGTAATATCATCATCCCCTCTGCCTTTGAATATTAAGGACAATCTCACGGGGGGTGCACGACCCCTGCGATTTTGGCAATATTATTATCCTCTCCCCTCTGCACATTAGGAAAAATATCACTGTGAGTGGACACCTCCTGCTATATGGGGATTAATATCCTCTTCTCCTGTTCTGGATATTAGGAACAATATCACACGAGGTTTTTACACTTTCTTGGATATCTGGAGTAATGTCATCCTCTCCTTTTTTGAATGGTAAGAACAATGTCACAGGGGGTTGTGCACCCCCACTGCGATATTGGAGTAATATTATGCTTCCCCCGCCCTTGATATTAGGAACAGAATCCCAGCATGGGTGTACACCTCCTACTATATGGAAAGTAATATCATCCTCTCCCTTCCTGGATTTTAGGAACAATATCACAGGTGGGTATACACCCCCTGCAGTATAAAGAACAATATTATCTTCTCTTTCTTTAGCTATTAAGAACAATATCACATGGCAGGTGTACACCCCCTGCTCTATTGGGAGTAATATCATTCTCTCTTATTCTGGATAGTAGGAATAACATCACAGGCGGGGTGTGCAACCCCTGTGATATTGACAGTAATATCATCCTCTCCCAACGTGGATATTAGGAACAATATCACAAGGTGCGTGTACATTTCTTCGATCTTGGTAATAATATCATCCTCTCCCCGTTGGATATAAGAAACAATATGACAGGCAGGGTGGACACCCCCCGCGATATGGGGAGTAATATTTCTCTCTGGATATTACGATCCACAGTGGACATACAGCGTGTTTATGATATTGTGAGTAATATCATCTCCCCCTCTAGAAATTACGAACAATATCTCAAAGACGGGTGTACACCCTCTGCAATATAGGGAGGAGCATCATCCTCTCCCACCCTGGATATTAGGAACAATGTCAAAGAGGTGTTTATAACCCCTGCGATACTGGGAGTAATATCATCCTCTCCCACGTTGAAATTAGGAACAATATCCCTGGAGGGTGTACACCCCGTGTGATATTGAAAGTAATATCATCCTCTTCCATCCTGGATCATGGGAACAATATCACTGAGGGGTGTACACTCTCTGTGATATTGGGAGTAATATCATCCTCTCCGCCTTGGAATATTAAGGACAATGTCACGGGGGGTTGGGGGATGTACACCTTCTGCGATATTGGGAATAACCTCTCCTCCCGCCCTGCATATGAAGAAAGATATCACAGAATGGGTGTACACCTCCTGCGATATGAGGAGTAATATCATCTCCCCTTCTGGATATCAAGAACAATATCACACGGGGGTGTACACTTTCTGCAATATTGGGAGTAATATCAACCTCTCGGCCTTTGAATATTATGAATAATATCACAGGGTGGATGTAGACCTTCTGCGATATTGGGAGTAATATCAGCCTCTGCCCTCCATGGCTATCAGGAACAATATCCCAGGGTGGGTGTACACCTCCTGCCATATGGGAAGTAATGTCACCCTCTCCCTGCCAGGATGTTAATAACAATATCACAGAGTGAGTGAATCCAGCCTGCAATACTGGAATTATTATCATCCTCTCCCCCTCCAGATACTAGGAACAATAACGGATGTTAGGAACAATATCACAGGTAGGTGTACACCCCCTGCGGTATTAGGAGTAATAATGTTAATTATTAATCATTAATTATTAATATTAATAATAAGTATCAATGTTAATAATTACTAGTATAATATTCTTAATAATAATTAATTATTTTAATTACATGATTCTGTATGGTTATAATTATTGATATTAATGTTATTTTTCCATATTATTTATCTTAATGTTAATTATCATTTTATTATGAACATTATTATTGATTTAATTAAGTCACATTCATTACTGATATTATTTTATTATTAATGCTATTACTATCAATTACTAATAGTAATCATTATGATCCATATTAATAATTTTATCGTTATTATTAATGTCAATGATTTCTATTAATCATTATTATATTTATTAATATTATTTTTCCTGATATCCGGGGGGAGAGAATGATATGACTCCCAGTATCACAGAAGGTGTACACCGCCCTATGATGTTATTCCTAATAGCCAGGGGGTAGAAGACGACATTGCTCAAAATATTGCAGTGGGTGTACATCCCTTCTTTGATCTTGCTCCTAATATCCTGGGTGGGAGAGAATGATATTACTCGCAATACCGCAGGGGGCGTAGACCTCCCCTGTGATATTGTGCCTCATATTCAAAGGTGGAGAGGATGATATTTCTTCCAATTTCGCCGGGGGTGTACACCACCCCTGTGATATCGTTTCTAATATCCAGGGGGCGAGAGGATGATATTAGTCTCAATATCGCAGGAGGTGTACACTCCCTACTGATATTGTTCCTAATATCCAGGGATGGAGAGGATATCACTCCCAGTATAGCAGGGGGTGTACACCTTTTGTGTGACATTGTTCTTAATAGCCAGTGGGGGAGAGGAAGATATTACTCCCAATATCGCAGGAGGTATACACCCCCTTGTTATATTATTCCTATATCCCGGGGGGGAGACGATGATACTAGTGGCAATATCGCAGGGGCTGTATACACCTCCTGTGACATTGTTCCTAATACCCCGAAGGGGAGAGCATAGTATTACTCTCAATATCACAGGGGGTGTACACCTCCTTTGTAATATCGTTCTTAATATCCATGATGGGAGAGGATGATATTACTCCCAATATTGCAAGAATTGTACAGACCCCTGTGGTATAGTTCCTAATATCTAGGTGGGGAGAGGATGACATTATTCCCAATTTCTCACGCGTTGTAAAACCTCTTCGATATTTCGCCTACAATCCCGGGGAGAGAGGATGGTATTACTCCCAATATCGAAGAAGGTGTACATCCCCCCTGTGACATTATTCCCAATATCCATGTTGGGGGACGATGCTATTACGCCCAATATCAAAGGGGATGTACACCCACCCTGGGATATTGTTCCTTATATCGAGAGGGAGATAGGATGATATTACTCCCGATATCGCAGGGGCTGTACACCCCTCCTGTGACATTGTTCCTAGTATCCTAGGGAAGAAAGGATGATATTACACCCAATATCGCAGGGGCTGTACACCCACCTTGTGATATTGTTCTTAATGTCCAGGAAAGGAAAGGATGTTATTACTCCCGATATGGAAGAGGTTGTACTTTCCCCCCATCCCCCCCGGGATATTGCTCCTAATATCCAGGGGAAGAGAGGATAACATTACACCTAATATCGCAGGGGTTGTACACCACACCCCCCCCAGTGATATTGTTCCTAATATCCAAATGTAGAGACAATGAAATTACTCCCAATATCGCAGGGGGTGTACACCCCTCTTGTGATACTGTTCTAAATATTTAGTGGGGGAGACAACGATATTACTGTCCATATAGCAGGGGTGGACAACATCCCTGTGATACTGTTTTTAATATTCAGTGGGGGAGAGGATGATATTAATTCCAATATCACAGGGGACATACCTCCTGTGATATTGTTTCTAATATTCAGGGGAAGAGAAATGATGTGACTCACATTATGGCAAGGGGTGTACAGCCCCTCCATCATATTGTCCCTAATATCCAGGGGAGATTAGAATGATATTACTCCCCATATCACAGGGGGTGTACACGACCCCTTTCATATTGTTCCTTGTATCCAGGGAGGGAGAGGATACTATTACCCCCAATATCATAGGGGTGTACACACCCCCTGTGATAGTGTTCCTAATATTTAGGTGGGGAGAGATATTTCTCTCAATATCTCAGAGGATGTACACCCTTCCTGGGATATTGTTTCTAATGTCAAGTGGGGGAGAGAATTATATTACTCCCAATATCGCACGGGGTGTAAACCCCCCCCCATTATTTTGTTCCTAATATCTAGGTTGGGAGAGGATGATATTACTGCCAATATCGCAGAACTTGTACACCCCGCCTCTGGTATTATTCCTAATATCCAGGGTAAGAGAGAATGATATTATTTTCAATAGTGCAGGAGGTGTACACACCCCTGTGATATTGTTGCTAATATCCAGTGGGGCAGACGATGATATTACTGGCCATATCGCGGGGGGTGTGCACCCCCTCTGTGATAGTGTTTTTAATATCCGGGGGTAGAGGATGATATTACTCTCAATATCGCCGTGGGTGTACACCAACTCTGTGGTATTGTTCTCAATATCCAGGGAGGGAGAGGATGATATTACCGTCATTAGGGCAAGGGGTGGACACCCCTTCTTTGATGTTGTTCCTAATATCCGGGTGTGAGGGGAGAGTGTTGTATTAACCCCAATATCGCTGGGGGTATGCACCCCTTTTTGATATTGTTCCTAATATCCCGGGGGAGAGTCCGTGATATGATGTTACCGGCCATATCACAGGGTGTGTACATCACCACTGTTATATTGTTTCTTCCAGCAATGAAGAAATTGATATTACTCCCAAAATGGAATGGGCTGTACACCCCCCATGAGATATTGTTCCTAATATCCAGGGGGGAAAGGATGATATTGCTCCCAATGTTGCAGTGGGTGCATAATCCGCCTGTGATATTGTTCTTATTATCTAGGGGCAGGGGGTGAGGTTGATATTACAATATCGCAGAGAGTGTACACCGCCCCTGTGATATTGTTCTCAATATCCCTGGGGTAGAACATTATATTACTCCCAGTATTGCAGGTGGTGTACACCACCCCCGTGATATTTTTTCTGATACCCAAGTGAGGGGAGGATGATATTACTCCCAATATGGCAAGTGGTGTACACGCCTTCTTTGGTATTTTTCCTACTATTTATGGGTGGAGAGGATGATATTACTCCCAGTATCGAAGGAAGTGCACACGCCCCGTGATACTGTTCCTAATATCCAGGTTAACAGAGAACGATATTACATTCCGCCTGTAATATTATTCCTAATATCCAGGGGAAGAGAGAATAATATTTCTCCCAATAGTGCAGGGGGTGTACACACCTTGTGATATTGTCCTAATATCCAGGGAAGGAGACGATGATATTATGGCCATATCGCAGGGAGTGTGCACCCTTCTGTGATATTGTTTCTAATATTCAGTGGGCGAGAGGATAACATTAATCCCAATATCGCAGAAGGTGTACAGACCCCTGTGATATAGTTCCTAATGTACAGGGAAAACAGCATAATATTACGCCCAATGTCGCAGGAAGTCTAAACTCTCTCTGTATATTGTTCCTAATATGCAGCGTGGTAGAGGCTTATATTACTCCCAGTATCTCAGAAGGTGCACACGCACACCTGTGATATAGTTTCTAATATCCAGCGGGAAAGAGGCTGCTATGACTTTCAATATCCCAGTGGGTGTACCCGCCGCCCGTGGTATTGCTCCTAATATCCAGTGGGGAAGAGGATGATATTACTGACAATATCGCAGGGGGTGTACACCTCTTCTGTGATATGGTTTCTGGTATCCAGGGGGTGAGTGGATGATATTACTCCCAATAACGTAAGAAGTGTACACCCACCCTGTGATTTTGTCCCTAATAACCACAAGAGGAGAGGTGATATTACTCCCAATATTGCAAGGGGTGTACCCCCGCCTGTGATATTGTTTCTTATATCCAAGAAGGGAAAAGATGGTACTACCACCAATATTGAAAGGATGTACACCCCCCACGTGATATTGTTCTTAATATCCAGGTTGAAAGAAGATAACATTACTCAAAATATAACAAGGGGGGTACACCCGCCTGTGAAATGATTCATAGAATCTAGAAGAAGAGAGAATGATATTACTTCCAATAATACATGGGTTTACAACCCCTTTTGATATTGTTCCTAATATCTAAAGGAAGAGATGATGACATTACTCCCAATACCGCCAAGGTATACACCCTCCTGTGATATTGTTCCTAACATCTAAAAGAAGAGATGATGACATTACTCCCAATACCGCCAAGGTATACACCCTCCGGTGATACTGTTCCTAATAAGTGGCGGGGGAGGGCATGATATGACTTCAAATATCGCCAGTGGCTTTACACCCCTTCTGTGATATGGCTCCTAATTTTCAGGGGGTAGAGTACGAAGATACTCCCAATATAATAGTGGGTATACACCCACGCTGTGAGATTTCTATGAATGTTCAGGGAAACACAGCGTGATATAACTCCAAATCTCGCAAGCAGCCATTTTGGGATATTGTTCCTAATATCCGGAGGTGGAGAGGATGATATTAGTTTCAATATCGCAGGCTGTGTACACACACCCTATGAAATTGTTTCTAATATCCAAGAGGGGAGAGAATACAATTATTCCCCATATAGCAAGATGTTGAGGGACCACCCCCTGCGATATGGGGAGTATTAGCACCCCGCCTCCCTTCCTGGCTATTACGGTCCACAGGCAGGGGGGTGAGGCACCCCCGCCATATGGGGAGTAACAGCACCCCCCTCTCCTCCCCTAGCTATTACGATCCACATGGCAGCGGGGTGAGGCACCTCCTGTGATATGGGGAGTAATAGCAGCCCCCTGTCCCCGCCTGGCTATTATGATCTACATGGCAGGGGGTGAGGTACCCCCCACCATATGAGGAGTAATAGCAGCCCCCTCTCCCTCCCGGCTACTACGATACACATGGCGGGGTTGGGGGGTCAGGCACCTCTTGCCTTATGGGAAGTAATTGCCGCCCCCCTCCCCCGCTGGCTATTACGATCCACATGGCAGGGGGGTGCGGTCAGACACCCCCTGCCCTATAGGGAGAAATAGGCCCCCCCTTTCCCCTTGGCTACTACGATTCACATGGGGGGGATTCCGGCATCCCCCGCTACATGGGGATGAATAGCTACCCCCTCTCCCCCCCCACTATTAGGATCCACATTTCGGGGGGGCCAGGCACCCCCCGCCATATGGGTAGAATAGCGCCCCCCCTCCCCCCCTGGCTATTACGATCCACATGGCCGGGGGGGGATCAGGCTTCTCCTGCCATATGGGGAGTAATGGCCCCACGCCCCCGCTATAATGATCCACATGTCAGGGGTTCAGGCACCCTCCGCCATATGGAGAGGAATAGCCCCCTTCTCTTTCCCCCTGGCTATTACGATTCACATGGTGGGGGGGGATCAGGCACCCCCCCCCCCCCGCCATATGGGGAGTAATAGAACCCCCCTCTCCCTACCCCCGGCCATTACGATCCACATGGCAGGGGTGTCAGCACCCCCACCCCAACCATATGGGGAATAATAGCACCCCGTCTCCTCCCATGGCCGTTATTTGGCTCCTCTGAGACTGATATCCATTACTTACAAAATGGAAATAATATTTACCTCTTATTTTTGTTATCAAGGTCATATGAAATAACTTTAAGTGCCTCTCACCAAGGCAGGACAAGAGCAGGCGATCAATAGTAGACAGGGAAATGTTCGTTCCTTTAATTCTCTCCACCCTGGAGATTACTGAGGCTCATTTTGCAGATTCTCATTTACTATTGCAATCAACCACAGACTTATTAGGTAAGCCTTTATTGTCTGCTTCCATTATTTCATTCACTTATTCACCGAATATTTCTTCAACGATCCTTCCTTTCAGACACTGTTTTTTTCCTATAAGAGAGCCGTCATTCTCTTAGAGAAAAACGGATTTATTTACAAAAACAGTAGGAGGAAATCTTACAAAGCATATGAATCAATAATGTACAGATGACTCCGAACTTGCAAGTTTCCTGAATGAGGATCATCAGAGATCCCAGTTCTAGAATCTGCTTTGAAGATACTTGCAATTCACTGTGAACTCTTTTGTCCTATCAGCAGTTCTCTCTAACATGATCTAATTCTCTTTGCTCAAGTCGAAAACATTTTTTATTTGCTGTATTGCCATGGTTTTTCATAAGTCTTTGCCACCTACAGAATGCCTTTGTTAAATTTATTGTTTGTTTCAGTGGTGTATGGATTGTCTCTGCTTGATCAAGCAAGAATAAGACTTTTTTAGAAATAGCCATTGTTGAGACTGGTATCCATATTGTGCCCCTAGGCAGTGGTAAACATAAGTACTTGTCACCACTTCTAGTACAGGATGTAGGGTTAGATATGGAAAGATAGGATAGGAGGGGGAAATCAAGATGCCATGAGCCCTAGTTGCCTATAACAGCTCTGTGGGGACACAGAGTAAAAAAATATTCAGTGTTAGCCAAAACAAGAAGGAAAGGATGTCCTTTGGACTACTTGAGCTGTGACTTTAAAGATAAGTAGAAAAATCAGTGGAGAGAGAATATGCTAGGCAAAAGCAACAGCTGGAAGATAAAAAGGGCTACAAGTGGAAATACATCATTGGTGGACATAGAACACAACAGATAGCTCTCCTCAGTGGGATCATGGGGTATGAGGACAGAAGGGACAGGAGAGGCACACAGCCATGTGGAACACACTGAGGAGTTTGGATTTTTCAAACGGTTATATGGAATTATTAAATGATTTTACAAAAGGAGGTAACAAAATCTTCATATTTGTGCTTTTAAAAAGCTCCTCTGGCTGCATTGTGCAAGATGGATTGGAAAGGGCAAGGGCAGAGAATAATACAGCAAATACCAATACAGAAAATTTTTGACTTACAAACATGATCTTGTGACTATTGTCCCAGAACAAATTAGATTGTAAGTATGGTGAACCTGTGCATACCTTCATTGTATATAGCATTACCTGGTGGCAAAATCTCTTGCTTACTATATTAGACACTGTTCTCCAGAGAAACAGAACCAATGGGATAAAGATTACACACCCTCACAGACACACATACACTTCACTTTTTTATTATTTATTTATTTAGTTTAAGAAATTGGCTTATTGGATTAAGAAGGCTGGCAAGTCCAAAATCTTCAGGGTGGGTTGCAGGCTAGAAACCCAGAGAAGAGCTGGTGTTGTATTACAAGTCCAAAGGCCATCTGCTGCAGAATTCCCTCTTGCTCAGGGGAGGTCAGTCTTTTTGTTCTATTTGGGCCTTCAACTGATTGAATGATACTCCCCTTCCCCACATTATGGAGAGCAATCTGCTTTGCTTAATGTCCACTGTGATGGTTAATATTAACTGTCAACTTGATTGGATTAAAGAATCCAAAGTATTGTTTCTGGGTGTATGCATAATATTGCTAAAAGAGATTAACATTTGAGTTAGTGGGCTGGAAGAGGTAGATCCACCCTTAATCTGGGTGGGTGCCATCCCCCACCTGGCTACCAGCGCAGCTTAAAAAAGCAGGCAGAAGAAGGTGGAAGGAGCACACTTGCTGAGTATCCCGGCCATCTTCTTTCTTCTGTGCCGGATGCTTCCTGCCCTGGAACATCAGACTCCAGGTTCTTCAACTTTGGACTCTTGGACTTTGGAGGCTTGCCAAGGCCTCTCAGACCTTCAGCCACAGACTGAAGGCTGCACTGTCAGTTTCCTTACTTTGAGGCTTTGAGACTAGGACTGATCCACTACTGGCTTCCTTGCTCCTCAGCTTGCCGATGGCCTATCGTAGGACTTTACGTTGTAATCATGTCAGTCAGTTCTCCTTAATAATCTCCCCTTCATAGATACATACATCCTATTAGTTCTGTCCCTCTAGATAACCCTAATACATCCACCAATTTAAATGTTAATCTCATCAAAAATTGCCCCACAGAAGCTTCCAGAATAATATTTGACCACATATCTAGGCACCAAGTCCCCGCCAAGTTGACACATAAAATTAACCATTACAAGACCACTTCTTGTAAACTTTCACTCATATGCATCTCCTTAAACCATACTTAATCTCCAGATAAAGACAGTATGACTTTGCCTTGGGGATTAAGTTTTCAACACATGAACTTTCGGGGAACACATTTCAGCTAAAGCACTAGCCTTCCAGGGTGACTACCGTGAAAGGGAGGGCATATTTCCATCTAACATGGCACAACTATCTTGCACAAAACTGGAAACACAATAACTCTTTCTAACTTCCTGAGCTGCAGTGTTAAATGCATAAGCTCTGCTTAGTGGGCCCATATGAATAAATTCAACCTGTTCTTTCTTTATGTTCCTTCCAACATAATCCCACACATTTAATATCCATTCCCATACATATTTTTAGGATTTCTATCTGTATACATTTGAAAAATAAAGTAGATCTTTTGAAATGCAACACACTTCTTCATGGGTCAAACATTGTAACTCACTGTAGGAACCTGATGAGACTTGAGTCTATTATAGTTCTAGAAGCAAGGATGGATTATGGGGGTGGCCCTAAGAAGAATCAGCATTCTCTTGCAAGGCAACTGCTTCAGGGGAAGTCATTACCATTTCCACAGGCAATGAGGCATGGATCTTCTCAAATATGGATGGAGAGGCTTCTTCTACTTGCAAAGAAGACTTGTTAGAATTTAGAGGCTCAGTATTTGCAGTTTCATCAGGGTCTTCCCAAATGTCTTCATTCCAACTTTTAGGATCTCATTCTTTCCCAGTCAATGCCCTAACTTTAACAACGGACACCCTGCAAGGTTGGTGCTATGCTTTGCATGTGTTCCACAAAAGTTTCTGTATTGAAGCCCTAATTCCCAGTGCAACAGTATTGGGGCCTAATAAGAAGTGACTCTATCATGAGGGTGAAACACTTATGAATGTATTGATGTTGTTACTACAGGAGTGAGTTAGTTATCACCAGAGAAAGTTGTTAAAAAGAAAGTCTAGCCCCTGGTGCTTCTCTGTGTCTCAAGCACTTGCTTCTGCCTCTTGCCCTATGCCGTGAGATGACCCTCACCAGATGCCAGTGCCACGTTCTTGGACTTCTCAGCCTCTAGAACTATAAGCTGAATAAATTTACGTTGTTTATGATTTAACTAGTCTGTGCCAATCTGTTACAGCATCAGGAAAATGGACCAAGACAGATGGGAATGTAATTTATTTTGTGCTTTAGCCACTGGAAAGATGAGATTTTAGGCTTAGTTTTCAGCAATCCCAGCCCTGCAGCTACAGAAGATAAAGCTGTCCTTCAGGGTACATGCTTTCAGGTCATTTATACAGCACTTAAGTTAGGAATTCAAATCCTTGAAATTATTATTTTCTTTCTCCACTTTCTCCAGCAACATTAGAAATAAGCAGTCAATCTCCTGACTCATTAGTGTGACAAAAATGTTTAAAGGTATCATATACATTGTTAATCATACCTTTGCCTCTTACGAATGTTTGATTAGGAGTATTCCTTGGTGACATTTTTCGTATCTGTGTTGCCACATCACATTATAGACTATCAGTGCTCTCTTTATGACTGCAATAGAGTCATTAAAGTGTTTAAATCTAATAAGATTAGAGAGCCAAATGCAGAAACCTAGAACCAATTCAGAAAACATATCTCTAAGATACTGGTTTCTCTACAACCACTCCTGGTACCAAAATCTGTCTTAGCTGGGATTCTCTAGGAAAACAGAACCAATAGGACATGTGTATTTATATAGAAAGAAACTTACTTTAAGAAATTGCTCATGTGATTAAGGATGCTGGCATATCCAAAATCTACAGAGTGGGCTGGCAGGGTAGAAACCCAGAGAAGAGATAATGCTTCAGTTCAAGTCTGAAGGTCATCAGGCTGCAGACACAGAAAAGAGCCAATCTTATAGGTCAAGTCTGAAAGCTGTCAAACTGGAAACCCAGCCAGGAAGGAGTTGATATTGCAGTTTAAGTCTGAAGGAAATAGTAGGAATGGAGAGGAAGTGACTGCAACTAGACATGGGCTTGTTTGGCCGGATGTTTTTGAAAGCTAAACTCGGATGACTGTGTCTTAGAGATCATGAATACTAACTTAAAATAGTAAAGAGTGAAGAGCCAGATAGTCACAGACACACATCTTAACACTTCATTCTGCCTCTTTTTTTTTTTTTTTTTTTTTGGACAATGAGGATTGTCTGGCAGGTTTTCCTGAATTAATCAAATGAAATATACTAATTACTAGCAGAAGGGAAATTTTTACAATTCTTTGTACTTAATGTGATTACAGGTAAATGACTGTTACCTGAAATCTATTTTTTTCTTTAAAATAGATGCTTATTTAAACCTTGAGTCATTTGCTGTTCTTCCAGGGCCCAATTCTATAACTACAGGTTATGATTCTTTGTTGATTAAGTTACTTATCAAACCTTTATTCATCATTGGATATAATTAACTTTTTTGAGGTTAATCTTAACATACATAGTACTATGCATAGTCAGCCATTCAAGGTTTTTGAATAAAAAAGAGGTATAATCAAAATAATGCATTAGAGGCCAGCAAATCTTTCTGGTTGTTTTTATTTTTGAGATTGTTGTCAGGGAGGTAATTATAGTATGCTAGCAAGGAAGATTAGAAACTAAATAAGGCAGTGACAACAGAAAAAATAAAAACAGGACAGATGGAAAAGGCATTACAAAGAACAAGTAAGGGACTGGTGACTTGGCAGAAGTAGATAGTTACTATCCCAAATCAGAAAAGTGACAAAGGTGGTAGATCAAATATCTTGGGGGTTATGGGCAAGTTCCATTTTATGACTACTAGATTAGTACTGCCAAAATGTTATCCAAATGTAGGCCAGGCATGGTGGCTTATGCTTGTAATCCCAGCACTTTGAGAGGCAGAGGCGGGCGGATCACTTGAGGCCAGGAGTTCGACACCAGCCTGGCCAACATGGTGAAACCCCATCTCCACTAAAAGTACAAAAAGTTAGCAGGGCTCGTGCCTGTAATCCCAGCTACTCAGGAGGCAGAGGCATGAGAATTGCTTGAACCTGGGAGGCAGAGGTTGCAGTGAGCTGAGATTGTGTCACTGCACTCCAGCCTAGGCAACAGCCTGGGCAAAAAAAAAAAAAAAAAAATTATCCAAATGTAAATGTTCACACTATGAAATATAAAATGAAAGCAGGCTAGGATCAAGGATGAGAATTTGAGATGAGTTTTGTTTTGTTTTGTTTTGCAGATATAAGTTTATATTGAAGAAAGCCATGGCGGCGGGGGCGGGGCGGAGGGGGGGAACTCTGAAAGAAGAGCTACTAGAGAAATAAGTAAGATTTTACGTGAAAATAATCTGCTATATCTTTAGGAAATGAGACCAGAAAAAAAAAAAAGAAGGAACAGTAAAAAGCATATGAAGGCAAACACAGTACTGTGAACAGAGAAGAAAATTTCCCTTGAACTTACATATGACTCCCTTAACACACCTAAATCCCTAGCCATCACCCTATTTCTCCTTCTATTAACAGCAATATTTTTAGAAAATACAATTTTGCTATCTCTCTCTAGCACTTGACATTCATTTGAACTTCAACCCATTAAATAAGGACAATATTCCAACCACTCCCTTAAAACTGCTCTCTAAAATCTCAGAGAGCCTAACAGTCAAAATCTAAGTGATTTTTTTTTTCATTTTTTAAAATTGTGTTTCTTTATTTTTTTGGCTACAAACCACACATTTATTTTAAAATATTTCTTCTCTTGGTTTATTGAAAACAATATTTTCTGGATTCTTAAACTTTGGAGAGATAGGGGACTTCTCCGTCTCTATTCCTTTTTTTCCCCCCTCTAAGTATATTCTTTAAGGCTATTTTCTCCACCTCCTCTTCTCACATTTTAAATTATACCCAGGCAATTTCTTCTATGCACGTTGGTTCTCTTTCTTTACCCTAGCTCTTTCTCATGATCTCTGAACAACACTGCTTTATTCTCTACTAGGACTTCAATTGGTGATTCCACAAGCATCGTTAAGTCAGCCTGCAAGTCAACATTTTCCAAACTCTACTCATCTCCTTCTCACCTGCCATTCCTCCTTTGTTTGCAAACTTATATAAAGGCATTTCTTCCCAGTGGTCTAGAACCTGGGAATCATTCTAGGTCCCTCTATATCCCAATTACCATAACAAAGCACATACTTGCACATGAATTTATGACCACCTAAATATGGTTCTTATATACCTCTTTCTTCTCCATTTCAACTGCCACTACTCTACTTCAGGCATAATCACCTCCTACCTAGAATACTGCAGTGGGATTCTCACTGATCCATCTGCTTCTTGTCTTACTTTACATCTCCGCATCAATTTGCTTCTCCATGCTCTCTCCCCAACAGGTCCACTTCAGATACATCTACCATACTGATGTTTCCAAAAGTCTCCACGTAATATCACTCACATTTTTGGAAAATTATCCCCATAACCTACAGAAGCCAATCTGTACAATTAGCAACATAAACAAAGCCATCCAAGACCTGACTTGCCTCTCCCACAATATCTGTTGCCTTCATTATGTCACATCCTACTCTCTTTTGTGACTAGTGACCTGCTGTCACCATTCCCTTCTCAGTTCAAGCGCTATTTTCCTCCAGTATCTGCCATATGCCAGGAACTGTGCTTAATGCCAGAAACACAAAAATGAATAAGGTAGTATATTGCACATAGGAAGTAATTGATAAATGAAAGTATGAGAAATAAACTGAAACGAATAAGTGCAGGACATAATTACAAAGTATAATGGAAAACACAGGAGACATACACATGGCTGATCTTTCCTGTGCGGAATCAGGGAATCAGGAAGCTTGTCTAAGTCGTCTGACCTTGGAGTAAATATTCACCAGGTAATCAGATGGAAGAATAATTTCACTCCAGAAGAGCAGCCTGAGCAGATACCACAAAGGAGCACGTCATGCAGAAGGAAGTTGCGAGTGTTTCTGCTCGGCTGATACACTGAAGGTCACAGAGAGCACTAAGGAAGAATGAGGTTGAATAGAAGGGGTTAGAGGCAGCAGCAAATAAGATGTAAAAAAAAATGATCAGGGGAAAAATCACTAAAGGATTTGTATGCAAGGTCCCCATTACTAAGGCAATGAGAAAACTGAATGGAAATGGTTTTAGAGGAAGGAATGGCATATGAAGTGCAGGCCAGGAGACCAGGAATAGCAGCTTCAGATTATTGCTGGAGCCCTGCAAGTAGATGAGCATGCATTAAGCAATAGCGGCAATGGCTAAGAGGAGAACCAAATATGTAAGTGCGATGATCTGAAGGTTTGTGTCTCCTCCAAAATTCCTATGTGGAAACATTAACCCGCAGTGTAACAGTACTAGGAGGTGGGGCCAGTGCAAAATGATTAGATCATGAGAGTAGATCCCTTATGAATGGAATTAATGTCCTTATGACAGAGACCCCAGAGAGCTGCGTTGCCTCTTCAGCCATGTGAGGAACACAGCAAGAAGGTACCATCTCTAAGCCAGAACGCAGGCCCTCCCCAGACACTGAACCTGCCAGAGCCTTCATCTTGGACTTCCTAAACTCCAGAACTGTGAAAAATAAATTTCTGTTGTTTATAAGCTCCCCAGTTCATGGTACTTTTTTGTAGCAGCCCAAATAAACTAAGACAGTGAGCTATTAAAGAAACAAATCTAGTGTCAGATTCTATGTGATTTGGGATCAAGAATCAGGAAAAGTCTACATTGATTTTTGTTTTCCTGGGTAAGGTGATTTGCTGGATGTTACTATGACAATTCAATCCTTTTTTCAGAAATGAAGGGTTTTATAATTTACCAGAGTAATTATTTTCTTTTTTCATTAACCACTGTTAATAAAAATGGGCTAATTTGAACATGTTGTTTTCTCAACTTCCACACCAAAACCTAATCATTTTCAATGGTTTTATATAATATGTATCACTGATATTATTTTACATATTTTGCTTCTAGCTGTTAAGAACATCAGAGGCATATTAATTTTTGTGTTCATTCTTGAGTCTCCAAGGATTAGATTACTGTATTCTACCTTTTTGTTTTCAAATGAACTAGATCCAGCTTCCACTTCTAATAAAAATTATGAATTTTTAGGGCACATATTGATTAAATGTCCTTAAATAGTAGCTGGCATTTGCTACTCCACCCATAAATGAGAAAATCTGTAATTTTGATGGCCACAATAAAAGGCCTTACACAATTCTTTTCTAAAGTGTTGGTTTCATTACAACCCAATCTGTACTTTTTCCTTTCCTCCGTTAACAATTCCAAAAACATAGTTGATAAGTTAATGGCCAAAATAATTAAAATATGGGATTCCTGGCTGTCAATAGGGTGACACCAAATCTCGGGAGCTAAGCAGAGGTGTCAATGATTCATTAGCAAAATGTAACATTGTAAGACTGGTAGCTAAACATGCAGTAAGAGCCAATTACTACGACTAGCACTGCAAGGTTGCCTTTGGCTGGAGAGAACTATCAGAGAGCTGCCCCACCCCCTACACTCCAACAGCGGCTCTCGTGCATGAAAGTGCATGCTTCCCTATTGGCATGTATGGGCTGTTTAAGCAGAGGTTGAAGGGATCAGTGAATTGTCAAGTCCCTCTATTTGTCAGCACAGAATTAGTCTAAAGGGAAATGAGGTTGAATCTCTTGTGCAGCAAGTTATGCAATCTTCCATATTAATGACAGATATCTTATCCTTGAATGGTGGATTTGTTTAAAGAACTTTCACAAGCATTTAGCAGAGGTTGTATATTTTATAAATGATGCGTGCATATTCCAAGTACATGTTAGAGATGACAAGGAAACTGATGCTTAGAAATATTTAATGTCGTGCCCAGAACCAGGTTTCCCAATTCTAGTGCTTATTCAGTAACCTAAATGAGCATTTCTATACAAACACACTCTAAATTTTGCTAGCTTCTTTATTAACACATCTACAGTTTAATCGACTTTGACATAAAAGGGAGCTGCCTTTCCATCACTTCTATTCCCATGAAAAAACAATATTTATAAACTGTTAACATTTCATTTCATGTGTTAAAAGCTATCCCAATCCAGTTGCTGTCAGCCAGCACTCCAGAAGGTAAAACGCAATATCCCCAGATTGTTGTATTTCATGTCATGCCTACTGCCTCACAGCGCAAAGCAGACAAAGAAAGTTGATGATTATTTAGTACGAACAGAGAGACAAATCATGCAAATCAGACTAAATAACACACCTTCAATTATGAGGTGTTTCAAATATTCAGATTTCCTTCAAATATCATTGTCTATATTTTTATAAGTTTTCCCCCTTTATGAGCTCTGGGTTTAACTTATAGTTTTTTTGAAACTATCTTTAATTATTGTTCTTTATACAGTCATGTGCTGCATAATAATGTTTCAGTCGATGATAGATCACATATACACTGGTAGTCCCATAGGTTATAATGGAGCTGACAAATTCCTATCACATACATACTTGCCATTGTCTTAGTACTTTCTTACACTATTCAGTACAGTAACATGCACCTGAGATATAGTTAACTTGTATTTTGAGATCTTGTAAAGCACAGGTTAAGTTTAAAGTGGTTACCAAGTGTAACACTGGGATATAATAAGAAATGTGTACTTGCTTTCTGTCCCCAGTTTCTGGATCACAACTCCTTAAAACCCTTGGAATCTCCAGAGTGATAGAAGTGTCTTTTGAATGTTAATGAGTAAACTGGTGGCTGGGGGCCTCAGATAACATTAGGATGAGGGCAGGCCATGAAAAAGATCATGATTAGAGACTTGGGACTATCAGACCCACCCCTCAATTTCTGGGGAGGAGAAAGAAGCTAAGGTTGAGATGATTACCAATGGACAAAGACATAATCAATCATGCCTGGGTAACAAAGCCTCCATAAAATCCCGAACAGGCAGGCGGAGTTCAGAGAGCTTCCGGGTTGCTGAATATGTGGTGATGCCTGGGAGATGATGTGCCTAGAGAGGGCATGGAAACTCCTCACCCTTTCTCGCTTTGTCCTATGCATCTCTTTCTTTTTTTTTATTTATTATTATTATACTTTAAGTTTTAGGGTACATGTGCACAACGTGCAGGTTTGTTGCATATGTATACATGTGCCATGTTGGTGTGCTGCACCCATTAACTCATCATTTAGCATTAGGTATATCTCCTAATGCTATCCCTCCCCCCTCCCCCCCACCCCACAATAGTCCCCAGTTGTGATGTTCCCCTTCCTGTGTCCATGTGTTCTCATTGTTCAATTCCCCAATTCCCACCTATGAGTGAGAACATGTGGTATTTGGTATTTTTGTCCTTGCGATAGTTTGCTGAGAATGATGGTTGTCCTATGCATCTCTTTCATAGGGCTGTTTATCTATATTCTTTCTAATATCCTTTATAATAAATAGGTACACATTCGTAAAGTGTTTTCCTGAATTATGTGAGTCATTCTAGCAAATTAACTTGAGAATGGGGTCATAGGAATCCCCAATTTGTAGCCATTTGGTCAGAAGCACAGGTCACACAACCCTGGGCTTGCTATTGGCCTCTGAAATGGGGTTGGTCTTGTGAAACTGACCTTTAACTTGCGGGATCTGACTCTGACTCCTGGTAGATAGTATCAACATTGAGTTAAATTGTGGGACTCCCAGATGGTGTCCACCAGAGAATTGTTTGGTGTGCAGGGAATCACCCCCACACATCTGGTCACAGGAGTGTTCTCTGTTGATTGTCAGAGTAAAGAGAGAGACCAAAAAAAAACAAAACCAGTTTGGTGTTTTTCTCTGACCAGAAAACGTAAATATGCACATAATTTGATTGTGTACTAATGATATTTTAATCTCCTGAAAGATGGCATGCCCGAATATGAGTCATGTTCTGTTAATAGAAGATAAGAATGTCCCTGAAAGTTATGTGTCTGCCACAAATTGTCTTCGTGAATGAACATTAAAACTGAATGAAACTCTTGGGAAAAACATCCAAATGAAAAGTGAGAAATCTAGTCAACCATCTGGTACTTTCATATGTGATGCCAAACATCCAGATACTTGCTAAATTCTAGATGAGCACTAGCTGTCATTTCATTATAGCTTGAGTTTTGTTTTTTTTTTTTTTTTCAAATTTCAGATGATTCTAGTAAAATGTTGACTTCCAGAGATGATTATATATCCCTAAGGTAGTATATCATCAATAAAATTAGGCTTTTAGTTTTAGTATTGATATTTTGAATAAACCTATCATTAGCAAATACCAATTCTCTTGTCGAAAATACTACTTAAGCAAAAATTGTCATATGTGATCTGAAGATGAGGTTTAACTTTTGTGAAAATATAGATGCAAAAATTTAGACTGTTTTTTAATCTTTTTTTACTAAACAGAAAAAAAGTTTAATATGTCATGTTTACTAATAACAATAGTGACACTTAGTAGCCCTGATTGAGCAGAGTTCTGTCATTAAGACAACTGTTTCACTGTCACCCATCCATAGAAAATAATTTGAATGAATCATCTAACAAATGTAGACACAATGATGTTGAGTTTATAAAGTTCTTTAAAAATAACAAGACACCCCTAGTGACACCCGTAAATTTTTTGATAGCTCATCTAATCGATATGTGCTACTTATTATTATATTATACTCTATGGCCAGGAGTGCTTACCACTCACCAGTAACAAAAATTAATGATAAAATGCTTTCTCAAAGAAAATGTTATACAATGCTTTCAATTTACTTCTTGGGTTATTTAAACAAGCTATTCTTTCTAATTAATTAAATATTATTATATTTTTCTGAAATGTATTTCAGAATGTATAGTTTTAAAATTTATTTAATAAAAAATAAAAACTTATATAGGCTTTCAAAATTAGTATTACCCAATGTCTTAAAGTAAAATGCATGACTCTAAAAATGATTGTTTGAATTATTATGAAATAATATGTAATATTTTAGCCCAATCAAAAATCAGTATACTTTTTAATATTATTCAGTGTTGAAAATCAGTATAGTAATTTTCAGTACATGTATAATAATATACATGTATTGCCAGTACTCTTAGATCTGCATTGATTAATACAGTATCCACTAGCAACATGTAAATACGAAGCATATGAAATATGGCTAGTACAACTAAGTAATTGAATTTTTAATTTTATTTAATTTGAATTACAACTGAAGCATTTTAAATTATTTTCCTGATAAACACAATATTGTTGTAGAACTTTATTGTACTTTAAAAGTTGCAGCACATTAGATATTCCTGTATTGTGTGTAAGTGGGGCACATGCTTCATTACTAGTGTTCTCCATGAACACATCAACAATCTAATTGATGTCAACAGATTGTGATAGAGTTTGGATATGTGTCCCCTCTAAATCTCATGTTGAATTATAACCACCATTGTTGGAGGTGAGCCCGGGTAGTAGGTGATTGGATCACAGGGCCAGATTTCTCATGAATGGCTTAGAGTCATCTCTTTGGAGATAAGTGAGATCTAGTCATTTAAAAAAGTGTGGCACCTCCCCCCAGTTCTTGCTCCTGTTATCATCATGTGGCATGTCAGCTCTCCTTCCCTTCCACCATGATGGTAATCTTCCTGAAGCCTCACCAGAAGCCAAGCAGATGTCAGTGCCATGCTTCCTGTACAACCTGCAGAACCATGAGCCAATTAAACCTCTTTTCTTTATAAATTACCAAGTCTCAGGTATTTATTTATAGCAATGCTAAAATGCAAGAATGGCCTAATACAGGTTGGTTCAGTTGGAATATTTTTTTCTTTTCTTTTCTTTTTTGAGATATAGTCTTGCTCTGTTGCTCAGGCTGGAGTGCAATGGCGTGATCTTGGCTCACTGCAACCTCTGTCCCCCACCCCCACCCCGCTCCCCCTAGGTTCAAGCCTTTCTCCTGCCTCAGCCTCCTAAGTAGCTGGGATTATAGGCACGTGCCACCATGCCTGGCTATTTTTTGTACTTTTAGGAGAGACGGTGTTTCACCATGTTGGCCGGGCTGGTCTCGAACTCCTGACCTCTATGCACCAGTAAAACATTGTAACATGTTTGCTTAAATGTTTCTTACAGTCAATAGGAATTACAGTGATACCTATGTAAATTATAATTGGTAACTGATTTGAATATTCATTACTATTATAATTATAATCAATAATGTATTTTCTAAAATGTGTATGCAGAGGTTTTTTTTTTTCAGTTTAAAATAAAGGCACACTATTGATGCATAATCAAGTCAAGATGCAGAAGTTCATGTTCCAACTGAATCAGTGAAAAAAACAAGTCTGGAAGCTGTTTTGAAATTTCTTGATGAAGGAAAATGGCAAATTTCTGTGGTAGAGCAAATTGAAAAAGTCCTTAGTTGTGTGAAAATATCTTTCAAGACAATAAAATGCCCAGTGCAAAAAGATGTTTTCTGCAATTACTTAGTGAATGTAGTAAGAACTTTGCTCTCAAATTGTCAAAATTAATCACCTAAAATCCTAATGAAAATGTCAAAATTTTTTTCTATTAATTTTTGAACAGAATTAAACTTGTAACTTTAGGCAACCATAATACAGCTTGGATCCTTATATATTTCCAAAAATCCAAAAGCCTCCAGAATTCAAAACATTTTGAGCACAGACACTACGCCAGCAGTGGGAAATTCCACTCCTAACTTCATCAAAAGTCACAATAAGACAGTCAAAACTTTGTTTCTTGCACAAAATTATTAAAAATACTGTAAAAAAATTACCTCCAGGCTATGTGTTTAAGGTATATTTGAAAGATAAATGAGTTTTGGGTTCAGACTCGGGTTCCATCTTCAAGATATCTCATTATGTATATGCACATATTCCAAAATACCAAAAACCCTGAAATCCAAAACACTTTTGCCCTCAAGCATTTCAGGTAAGAGATACTCAACCTCTATTAATAAATCTAGAGTTGACTTTTAATTTGTGCAATATCCCTTTGAGTGAGTTTGATGTAATAATCCTGAGCTGGAAAAAGAATTAGTGAATTTACCGAACATAGACAGATATCATTTTAAAAATAATATGCTTTTATTTCAAAGTCTCAAAGTTAAATCAATTTTTCAAAAAAAAAAAAAAAGGAAGAAAGAATCAGCTTGGTAAGGGTAGATGCAACTAGTAAAGGAAAGTGCTTTTTTTCTTTTTTTTTTTTTTCTGCCGCCCAGGCTGGAGTGTAGTGGCATGATTTTGCCTCACTGAAACTTCCACCTCCCAGGTTCAAGCAATTCTCCTGCCTCAACCTCCCAAGTAGCTGGGATTACAGGCACCCACCACTATGCCCAGCTAATTTTTGTATTTTTAGTAGCCATGGGGTTTCACCATGTCTGCCAAGCTGGTCTTGATCTCTTGATCTCAGGTAATCCACCTGCCTCTGCCATCTAAGTGGTGGGATTACAGGAGTGAGCCACTGCGCCCGGCCAGAAAGTGCTTTCTTAATACTTGGTTTTGTGGTTAGAAAATGTTTAAGTATGTCTGGGACAAGTTGAATATAAATATGTAAATCTACTTTTTCAACTGCAAATTTTATGAAATCTTAATATAGATCATGTATTTCTGATGAAAATGTAGTGACTTAAGTGAGACGTGCTGTAAGTACAAAGTGTGCCACAGATTTTGAAGACTTGGTAAAAAAGAAAGAAAAGCAATATATCTTAAGTTGAAATGATAAAATGTTGGATATATAAAATATGTTGCTAAAATTAATTTCTGCTATTTTGTTTTACTTTTTTAATTTGGGCACTAGAAAATTTATAATTACATATATGGCTATCATATTTCTATTGGAAAGTACTTTCTTAGACAAATGAATAAATTACATTGTAAAAACATATAAAATATATTTTGTATTTACGTGAAATGCACTTTCTATTTGTCCTAGTTTCAGATCCTGGAAAAGTAGTTGGACAAGTCCTTTTCTTAGCCACATTATAGTATAAAGAAAAATTTAAATAAATTACCGCTTTAAAGCTCATATTTTTAATTCAAAATTGCAGTACTTAATTCAAAGTTAAAAGGTTGATTGTAATTTCTATGTTAGTGGTCTATAGATTTTAGTGATGGTATAATCAACAAAAGCATAATACAGTATTTTGGAATTAAAATACATATAACATTTATTCAGATGTGAAATGTCACTAGATAATATGTTAAGATTCCAAGAAAATTGACAAAAATAGTAGAAACTAGAATTTAGGTATATTCGCTAGTGACCCTTGATTAATTTATCTTTGAAAATGAAATTTTACCTAGCTGTAATAAATTTTATAGGGTTTCAGTTTCAAAATGACTATGACATTTGCTTCAGACATCAAGACAGTTTCCCATTATTCCAAACATTTTCAAAGGAAATGTAAACACTTTTCACCAGACAAAAAAATTTTTGAATACATTAATCATGTCTTAAAAAAAATACATATGCATCAGAGATACCTATAGAATGCATGGATCTTATTAGGAAATAATAAAGGCAAATGCTTCTATTAAATAATTTGTGCAGTAAAATCTTTGTTTGCTTGATTTTTGCTGATATTCACACTCACCGCTTTCTACTTGACCAGATACAGAGAGAGAAGTAAACTTCTGAATATTGTGAGTAGTCTCTTTTTGATTTACAAATCAGTTTATTTGATACCATCTCCACTATTTCAGATCCTGGGAATTTATTTCCACAATCATGCCTTTCAACAATTTATAGAAATTTGCAGCTCAAAATCTTACAGATTACCTTGTCCAACCCCCTTTTTTTACAGGTAGGGAAGCTGAGGTCCATGGATGATAGCAACACTTCATTAGTCAATTAAACTGGAAAAAACAAAACACAGAAACGCTTTTCCAGGGGGCAGGATTTTTCCCAATAAATATATCTTGCTGTTGATCCACACCCTTGTCTTTATTTCTCTTCCTCCTTTAGGACGGATTGGATTTTTTAATCCAGAGTGAAAAGTAATTATTGTTAAAGTTGGCAGCTGAGGAACTGGGGTCTTCATGGAATGGAAATCCCTTTTTCAGTGTGGACATGCTAAGGCCCTGTCCCTGTGCAAGGAGCTCACTGCCATGCACTGATTCTTTCCTGGAGGGTGGGCCCAGCCCCATAAAGAGAAGAGAGAGATTTCTCCATAATCCTAAAATCACTTTTTCTGTAAAGCATGTAGGATCAGAGGACCTTCTGACCATCCTACTGATACACGTAGTTTGTCTATTCATGTTTTTCTTTTGCTTACTTCTCTTCATGCATTTAATACTTCCATGGCCGTGTTGCATTTCTAATGTTCCGAAAGAACGGCCACAACGTTTGAAAAGTAGTGAAGTATTCGATCTAGTGCTTGACTTAACATATCCAAATCTGCTTTTTCTAGATCTGTAGATGACTGCCCAGAGTGCTAACAAATATACATATATACATTTGATATTTATTAACACAAAATGTTTCATTTTATGTTTTGTACTCTACTCACAATATGACAATAACAGGCTTTTTCTTTTCATAAATTAAAAGTAAAATATCAATAATGGTACTCAAAGCCCATATGAGGCTTTTTTTTTTCTTTTGGATATTTGAAGACCATTCACTGCCTCCCAAAGAAATCAAATAGCTCTTCAGATTCTAAGTTTGGCAAGTTGGAGAAAACAAAACATTTTGAAATATATTGTGGATCTGAGCAAAGTTTTACGGATTTCATTTGTATTTACTTTTATTAAAAAATCGCAAAAGTAGAAAGGTGTCAGTAATTATCATCTACCAATTACAGTAAATAGGAGACAAACTTGTTAAAAACCAACAATATCAGATTAACATAAGACAGAAGATAACCTTGCAGATCAGAAAACCTCAGGTGTTCTTATCAGTGAAAACAATTTTAAGAATTTCTAAGCAAAATTATCTGTGTTCCATTTAGGTTGTTTAACTTTTATCAAAAACCGCATATAAATGCAAAGACATACATAAATGACCATGTTGACTTATGATTTCAAGCCTTTGCTAAATCTTCCTTTAAGACCAAAATGTTACTTTTAAAAAAAAAAAAGCACACAGATGCTTTCAAATTTGTTGTCATTGCAAGAAAAGTCTGAGATGTGTATTGAGCATTGGCATAAGCTTAGTTGGCTGGCATCAGAGTTAGTAACAGGTGGCAGAGTAAGCAGTAAAATTGCAAAGGCAGAACTGTTTGCATTTCCTGCAATATCATATCAATCTTTTTCTAGTAAGTATAATTCTGGTCATTAGAATCATTATTTTGTTTTGTTTTTTAATGGAAGCCCAGAGACACAAGAATATTTATGTCTTATTGTTAATAACTTATAGAGAAGGTTTTTAATCTATTATATCAGAAATAGTAATGGTCACATTTGTGTATCCTATGGTGGCATACAATTCACTTCCTAGGCATCATTTTATTTTTTCCCACTCTAAGATGTGAATCTGACATCCTTAAAGAATAAAATACTATATTATACTAGGGTTGGGAACAGGCCCCCAAATCTGGCCATAAACTGGCCCCCAACTGGCCATAAACAAAATCTCTGTGGCACTGCGACATGCTCGTGATGGCCATGATGCCCATGCTGGAAGGTTGTGGGTTTACCAGAATGAGGGCAAGGAATACCTGGCCCACCCAGGGCGGAAAACCACTTAAGGCGTTCCTAAACCACAAACAATAGCATAAGCAATCTGTGCCTTAAGGACATGCTCCTGATGCAGATAACTAGCCAGAGCCCGTCCCTTTATTTCGGCCCATCCCTTTGTTTCCTGTAAGGAATACTTTTAGTTAATTGATAATCTATAGAAACAATGCTTATCACTGGCTTGCTGTCAATAAATATGCAGGTAAATCTCTGTTTGAGGCTCTCAGTTCTGAAGGCTTAAACCCCTGATTTCCTACTCCATACCTCTATATTTCTGTGTGTGTGTCTTTAATTCCTCTAGTGCCACTGGGTTAGGGTCTCCACGACTGAGCTGGTCTTGGCATACTAGCAACTTCTATCATCAACTAACCTTCTCATTGCTGTGTGCTTGATTTTTAAAAATATTGCATCATTTTCCCAATTTTATGGATTGATTGATTGATTGACACAGGGTCTCTTTCTTCCAGGCTGGAGTACGGTGGCACAATCATGGTTCGCTGTAACCTCAAACTCCTGGGCCCAAGCCATCCTCCCACCTCAGCCTCCTGAGTAGCTAGGACTACAGGTGTGTGTCACCACATCCAGTTAATTTTTGTATTTTTGTATGAACAGGGTCTTGTCACATACCCCATCTGTTCTGAATTCCTGGCCTCAAGCAATCCTCACCTTTTAGCCTCCCAGCTCACTGAGATTATAGCATGAGCCACCACATCAAGCTTATTGAAATTCTATTAGTCCAAATTATTGCTGTTACAAACACGTAGAAAATATCTTCTACATAATATATTTGAAATTTTATTTGGAACAATAATATATATGTTTGGATTATGACTTAAATGTGTTTAGAATTATTGCTTAAAATTTACATTGCTATTAAAATTAGAAATGCAAGAAAAAAGTTTTTGTAACAGCAGTATAATTAAAGTTAATGTTACATATTTATAAAAATGTAGATGTTTATTTTAAGTCTAATAGTAGAGAAAAAGAGTTATACATTGTGGTTATGAAAAGAGTATAGGTTTTGAATTTAGATAAAGTCTTCCTTTTATAATTCACTTATCTGTAAACCTTACCTGAATAAAGGAGGAAACCATAACTACTGAACAAGGTAGTGAGGGGAATTACATGGTTTCTTCTGAAGGCTGTGAGGGCAGCATCCATTCCAGGCTTGGCTTGTTGGTTTACACATAGTCATTTTCTCCTCCTTCTCCTCATCAGGTCTCCCTTCAATGTATATCTCTGTGTCCAAATTTCTCTTTTTATGAAAACACCAGTCATATTGGATTAAAGTCTACACTCATGACCTTATTTTAACCTGACCTCTGTAAAGACCCTGTCTACACATAAAATCACATTCTTAAGCGCAAGGAGTTAGGGCATCACCATATGAATTCAACCCATTACAGACAGAAACTGAAAAGCGCTTAACCCTGTTTAAGAAAATAAGATAAGAACTAATAATTGATATAAGGCGCATTTTAAGTTTGGATTCTGCATTAAGCATAACAACTTGGATTCCAGTTAGTTTTAGCTCCATTAATTAAGACAAATGGGTGCCTACTACAGTAAACTTAGCTATTGGAGTCATGCTGAAATTTGTTATAATCCATGTCTTCCTTTTTCTATTACCATTTTATTTTTTACCATCATTGTGATATATGTCTATTTTTCCTGTCTCTGCTCCTTATAAATCAATTGTATCTTGTAAGATTTTGAATTTTCTGGTGTGGAGAATAAATCTGAAATAAAATGAAATACTAGTATGTAATCTTTCATGAACATTTTGGCTCACATCCATATTATTGGTCTTAGTGACATCCAGTGGCCATGACGGGTCAATGTCAGGATTTCAGATCTTTCCAGAAATGTCTTTACTATGTAGTCCTCACCTAGAACAGAGGAAAAATAGTATATTCTTAAGCCATTGGTTAACATAGTTGTAATTAAATATCCCCTGGTCTTTTTTGATTCATAAATTGAACTACCTTTTAGATAAAAATAAAGATTATTACACTTAGTTTTATTTTACTTCACTTTTGTCAATGACTTAGTGTCTCCCATCGCTTAAAAATATTTAATCTACAAAAGCTATTTAAAGAGAAGTTCTAAACAGACAGGATTTTATACCATTGAATAGTATTTTATTTTCACACATCTCTAAGTTAGAATATTTTACTAAAATAAAATGATCAAATATACTAGTAATGGTATGTATTTTCCTAAACAATCAAAATTGTCCTGTCAGGTAATAACTTTAAATATCACGTATCTCATTAGAATGTAGTGAAGAAAGTTTGTGCTGAGACGTAATTATTAAGGTCTGACTACGCTTCAGGGGCTAAATTTGGAGAATGAAGAACCAGACTACTGCTTGGTTACAAAAAAAAAAAAGTTCACTAAATGTATGTTGCAAATGTTTGTGCCTTGAGGAAAGTTTAGTCCTTTTGGCTGAGTTTCAGATAATAACAACGCTGATCTGTATTATAGTGATAAGCTACGAACTAACTACAAATAATGGTTACCTAGTAATTTGTAGTTTAAAAAGTCAATTATGCAAATTTGCACATACAAAAAACCTATGGGGAGTTGGGAAGTAAATCTTTCTTTCTAACTAATAGCAAAGTAGCCCATATTCAATCTCTTTTGTTATATAGTACAAAGCTACAAACCTACAGAACAAGCCATAAGATACTCAGTGCATACTTGCCATGAATAGAATTTAGCAATATGATACAATTTCACTAGGAAATTTATATACATATATGTACACACACACATATATGCATATATATATGTATACACACACACATATATATAAGATCTTCAGTTGAGTATATCATTAAATGCTAGGCTCTAAGAGAGGTATAGAAATAGAGTGGAGGAAAAATGGCAATGGGTCACAGTAATTACTAAAAGCTTTAGGAGACAAGAGTACTATTCTTAAAATAACCATAGGGCTTTGGTTATTGAGGAAAGGGAGAAAGGAAGCAGCTGAATTTAGGGAAGGGGATGTGGGTAAAACCTGGAAGTGAGGCACAGCTTGTGGGGATGGCCAGGGAAATATTCCGACCACATGTGCAGCTGTTTTGGGAGGAGCAGGATGCTTGACAAACAAGTGAGGGCACCAGTTGATTTGTGCCTTGACCAAAGTCTGACTGCCAAGAGGAACAAGAAGTCTTGTGGATTTTTAAAGAACAATGACATGATACAAGCAGCATGGAAGAAAAAAAGTTTATGAGTCAAAACAAAGATGCATTGTGTTCCTCATAAGGTGAACATTAGAGGAAGCCAAGCACAATCTCGTGAAAGCTTAGACGTTGGAAAGAAAGGAAGATTCAGAGTCTCCAAAGCACTAAATGAGTTTGGTGATTTGCAGCCTGTGGAAGGTACAGGTCAACAATAACTCAACAAGCCATCCAAGATATTGATTCTGTGAATGTTGCTGCTTTTGAAAGAAAAGGGGAGAGAAGATGGGAAGGGAATTTTTTTTTCTTTTTCTTTCTATTTTTTTTTTTTTTTTTTTTTTTTGTAGAAAGAAACAAAGCTTGGGCATATGCAAAGGAAAAGTCCTGTAGGAACTAGAAGTGTTAAAAATTGGAGCCAAAGGTGAGAATGACAGCCAAAAGACTAGACAAGACAGTAATGACTCCAAAGGAATAATATAACATGGAAACCAAAGATTAAGCTTGGGCCAAAAATGAGGTAGGGAGAGGAATGGTTAAGAATTGGAGAAGAGGCTGGGTGTGGTGGCTCATGCCTGTAATCCCAGCACTTTGGGAGGCCAAGGCAGGCCTATCATGAGGTCAGGAGTTCAAGACCAGCCTGGCCAACATGGTGAAACCCCGTCACTACTAAAAATACAAAAAATAGCTGAGCATGGTGGCGTGCATCTGTAATCCCAGTTACTTCTTGCAAGGCTGAGGCAGGAGAATCGCTTGAACCCAGGAGGCAGAGTTTGCACTGAACTGACATTGTGACACTGCACTCCAGCCTGGGCAACAGAGCAAGATTCCATCTCAAAAATAAAAATAAAAAAGAATTGGAGAAGAAAGTTAAACAGAAAACTGAAAAAAAAAAAAAAAAAAAAAAAAGGAGAATGTAGTGTCTCAGAGGTCAAGAAAATCATATTTTTTAATAGAAAGGCAAATAGATACAATCGCAGTAGAGAAATCAATGAGAATCAACACAGGCCTTCAATTCAGTTGGGGCAGGAAGAGATGAAGGAGATGGAGTCTGCTGTAATTAACTTCAGAGGAAGTGTTTTCATGGAATGATTGGGTCCCATCCAATTTTCCGAAAATTGAGGGGGAAAGATGTTATTGAGGAAATTTATGAACTTAATTGAATAAGACCTTTATATTAGGCTGTTCTTGTATTACAATAAATACCTGAGACTGGGTAATTTATTTTTAAAAGAGGTTTAAAGGTCTCACAGTTCTACAGGCTGTACAAGCATGGCACCAACATCACTCCGCTTCTGGGGACGACTCAGGGAGCCTTTACTCATGGGGGAAGGTGAATCAGGGGGAGTAATCTGTCACATGGCAAAAGCGGGAGAAAGAAGTAGTGGTAAGGGGGTAGATGCCACACACTTTTAAACAACCAGATCTCGTGAGAGAGAACTCACTCACTATCGTGAGGACTGCATCAAGAGGGTGGTGGTAAACCATTCATGAGTGATCCGCCCCTATGATCCAATCACCTCCCCCCACCAGGTTCACCCTCCAACACTAGGGATTACATATCAACGTGAGATTTGGGTGGGGACATGCATGCAAACCATATCAACTGTTCATTCAAAGACCCTAATTAATAAGAGAAATGAAATAATATTGGGAAAGGAAAGCAGGATGAAGCAAAAATGTCACTTTAATCGAGAAAACTGAGGCATTTTTCAAAGCCAGGAGAAATCCCAATAGGGAAAATAGGAAGATTAACTTAAAAGGGATGGCAGTGAAGACAGAAGTCAAGTAAGTTCCTTTATACATGTGAAGAGATGAGAGCAAAGGAACATCAGACATTCTTTTGCAACATCCGACTTTAACTTTCGAGAGACGGTATATCTTGCTCTGAGATGTGAGAGAAGAATAAATATAGATATAGGAACAGATAAATTGAATTAAAGATGAGAGAACTAATGGGATTGGGGGCTTTAAGCCCCCAGGGAGAATGGTTTTATTTCTTTAAGAAATAAAACACAGCCTGAAAAGTTTCCATGGAAAATGATCCAAGAAGTCAACGAGGATAAATAGAAGGAGTGGTGAGCAGGAGACCCTGGCCAAACTGAAATTGTACAGCAGGCTCTCGCAGGGCACCAGCTGCACTAAGCCACACAACTTTCTCCAGCAGCATTCTGCAGTCTGTGAGCAGAAGGCTCACCGTGGAGCAATCCAAGGCTAGAGATGGGAGGGTCCTCAAGAGAGTCCAAAATACTGGCAAGAGGAGCACAGAGGCAGCTGACCACTTACTACAAGGTGAAAAGGACTCAAGTTTGGTCCAACGAGAGAAGACTGATCTTAGCAAAGAGGGCTGGCATGAGTAACGTTGCATTCCGCAGTCAACAGAGAAAACATGTTTTCAGAGTTAAGGGGGAGGCAGAGAAAAGAAATGGTGCAAAAGAGCTGAATTTCAGTGTGATTGGGAGCAATATTTTATGTTAGGGGCTTAGTTCCATGTGTGGCTGAGGTGACTTGGCAATATTAAGCATGAGGTCAAGGGATCTGATAAGTGGAGAACTTGGATGTTTAAAAGTGTCATTTTGGATGAGAGAATGAAACAGTGGACAGACAGGCCAAAAGCTGGAGTCTGGGATCTGGGGACGTGATTTCTTTTTTTTTCCCTTACAGCAGAGGTTCCAAAAGCATGGGTTTTGGATCAGCAGCATCTATAAGTGTGATAGATCTGCAACTTGAGGGGGCTGATTTCTGCATCAGAAACTCTGAGGCGAAGGCTTATCAATCCATGTTTTTTAAAAAACATTTATTTGTTTTAAAAATGTTCTTAAAAAACATTATTTTTACCGTATTTATTTAAGGTGTACAGCATGATGCTTTGATACATGCATATGTATCGTAATGATTACCACAGTCAAAAAATTAACATTCCCATCACCTGCTCATGTTTAACAAGTCCTTCAGGTGACTGGGTGCACACTTAAGTTTAAGAACAACTTTCTTAGAGAACAGAGCAAGGAGAATGGAAAGATTAGAGAAGGGCCTCACCTGTTAAGAAATAAAGACAGCAAGGCTTGATCAGCATTCTGATATAATCAGCATGGATAATAATAATAACCAAGCAATACATTTTTATTTAACACTTTTGCATTTTATAAGACTCTTTCAAATATATTCTACAATTTAAGGCAGATGGGGACTTTATTCCATGGAGTTAGGATTGTAATCGAGGATGAAACTCTTGGAGTTAAGGATTATCTCGAAAACAGCATTTTCTGAGGAGAGCGGTGTTTTTCAGATGATATAATGGAATGGTGTGAAATTATTTTTAAGCAAAGGGGAGTTTTGCCTAAGTTTAAAATGCTATTCCACAGGGCACAATGTATAAGGTCAGCAAGAGGAAAGACCTAAGGAAACTAAATGTTATTGATGAAATGCCACAGATGAAAAGTTGGTTTCAGAACCAGTGAGTCATGGAGTATTTGGCTGAGGGGAGCAGTGGGTTGGGATGAGGTGGTGAGACCCACTTTGGGTAGAGGAAGAGGAGAAGTTCTGAACTGTACGAACTGTATTTCATGGCACATGACAATGGGCATTGGAGTTAAAACAAAGTTTGAAATCTAATACCAACATATACCAGCCATGTGACTTTAAGGAAGTTACTTCTCTGGCACTCAGATTCCTTCATTATCAATTAAATATTTAAATTTCTATTTAATTGAGCTGGTATGAGAATGAAAAAAAAATGCTGTATATACCATCAGTACATTTAATAAATGTAAATGATTCACACACTTCCCTCTCCCTCTCTCCCACCCTCTCTCTCTCTCTTCTGAACTGTAAGTTCTTGTTAATTATATGAAGAACACAGAGATATGTTCAGCTATCATGAAGATAATTAATATATGTGGGTTTTTAAAATAGATGCTATGGTGACAACTTTTGTGGAGCTAAGGCTAATTTTGGCTACTCAAAATAACAAGGAAAATTTCGAGCTCTCTATAACCTAACAAAAGCCACCTAGAACGACAATGTGTTTTTTTAATAGAAGCCAGATTTGAAGCTTGTTTTTACCATTCATGTGACAAATCTGCCTGATAAGGCCCAGGCTGCTCTCTACATTGAAGATGAGGTGAGCAGGCAGACTAGGCCTCCACTGTCGCAGACCTCAAGTTCACATGCAGAAAACCAATTCTAATTTTTAAATAAGTATGATAATTACATTTTTCCATGAATTGATTTTCTTCTTTGTTTTTTGAGATAAGGTCTTGCTCTGTCACTCAGGCTGGAGTGCAGTGGTACTATCACAGCTCACTGCAACCTCACCCTCCAAGCTGAAACGATCCTCCCAAGTAGCTGGTGTGCACCACCATGCCTGGTTAATTTTTTTTAATTTTTTTAATTTTTTAATTTTTAATTTTTTGTAGAGATAGGGTCTTGCTATGTTGCCCAGGTTGGTCTCAAAATCCTAGGCACAAGTGATCCTCCTGCCTCAGCCTCTCAAAGTGCTGGGATTATAGGTGTAAGCCATCATGCTTGGCCACATTTTTACATAAATTTCATGAAGGGGAAGAAATAGGATGTCTGGAGGACATGGCACTTAAATTAAAAAGGTGATGATAGGACTTAGAACATAAAAATATTTACATTTAATTATATTAAATTATCTTAAATATAATTAAATTATAATTTATATTATAAATCTGATTTATAATATAAATTATTTTATGTATAACAAACTATTATCATATTATTCATAGAATTAATATATTATAATAATATATGTAACTATTATATATTATTAATTTAGAATTTGAATTATAATAATTTAATTTATAATAATATAGAAAATATTTATAAATTGCCTTAAAAGTTTCTCAAATTCTATTTATCTCAGCTACTTTAATTCCCACATCAGTTTCTATATTTGAGAAATGATAAAGTGGAATAGGTCAATTCTAAAGTCTCTGGCAGCTCAAAATCTTCATAATTCTATGTATTATTTTCATATAATATACCATAAGAAAAAACTAAAGTTTATGGTCACTTACTAAACTAATCATTTCAGACATAGGACTTCTCAAATGATCAGCAAATAAAAACTTCTCCAGGAGATTATTTTATGATTTTTATCAGATGAGCTTAGCAAAATCAATCAGAGAACATAAATATTAGTAAGTGAGTAATTGTATATCTACTTTGTGGACATATGCAAATTTGACTGATAGATTTATCCTGCTATAGAGAAGGCTTAAACAATAGTATCCCATACTAGAACTCTAGCTGTACCTGCTTTTCTTTTTTTCTTTTTTTTTTTGAGATGGGGTCTTGCTCTGTCGCCCAGGCTGGAGTGCAGTGGTGCATTCTGTAACCCCTGCCTCCCAGGTTCAAGCGATTCTCCTGCCTCAGCTTCCCAAGTATCTGGGATTACAGGCGCCTGCCACCACGCAAGACTAATTTTTGTATTTTTAGTAGAGACGGGGTTTCACCATGTTGGCCAGGCTGGTCTCGAACTCCTGACCTTGTGATCTTCCCACCTTGGCCTCCCAAAGTGCAGGGATTACAGGCGTGAGCCACTGTGCCTGGCCTGTACCTGCTTTTCAACGATAATTTTATGACAAATAATAGGAATGTTTACTGTTTATAGAAAGGAATGTGAAATTTTAAGAAATGCATGCAAAATTTAAGGATGCTACGTTTTAACAATATTGAAAATAAATGGTTTCAAGAAGAAGAGTAAATGATAAGTGTAATTCACATTACAAATATGAGGTTGCTTTGTGATTTGCTAGGAGCAAACTTTTAGCACATATATTCTGAAGAATCATGACAAGTTAGACATGTTATAATTTCCTGGTAATCACTGTATGAAAAAATACCACTCGTTGTTAGATGATTTACATAAAAATAAATTCACAGTGTCATTTGAATTTATTTAATTATTTAAATACTAGGCTAAATATATTCTTTAGAGAAATCTTTGTAAAATTGTATTTTTGTTAGTAATTAAAAGTATTAGTAATGTTTATTACTGTCTCTACTCTACACTCAACTGAAGTCCTCAGTAATTCCCAGTGACTGCCATGATGGGATCTGACAATATCTGACAATGCCTGAGAGGCTTAGGCTTCAACATACATTCAGTTAGGAATGAGGAAATACATAGAGGACTTCACATTCACCTAAGGTTAGATATTTGATTTAAATAATTCTTTGCCTGTGGAATATAGACACACTACCTATGTGGTCAATTAGCACATCTGTTATGATATTTATCTCAAACATATTTCAAAGTTTGTTTAATTACAAAGGCAGTGCCTTAATTTAAAAAAACTCAATGCATTCAGTGTGCATTGTAAAAAGTAAGGAGATCGAGACCATTCTGGCTAACACAGTGAAACTCCGTCTCTACTAAAAATACAAAAAAATTAGCTGTTTGTGGTGGCGGATGCCTGTAGTCCTGGCTACGCGGGAGGCTGAGGCAGGAGAATGGCATGAACCTGGGAGGTGGAGCTTGCAGTAAGCAGAGATCGCGCCACTACACTCTGGCCTGGGCGACAGAGCAAGACTCTGTCTCAAAAAGAAAAAAAAAAGAAAATTCAGATAAACGAACTCAATAAAATAAAAATGCAATATTTCTACCATTCATAGATTATCACACATATACTATAGATTACACTTCAGTGTAAAACCTTCCAGATATTTTGCTATGTTTATATATGTACACACACACACACAGAAAGATATCTATGTCAGTTGCCTAATATTCACATAATATTCACATTTTCTTATCAATGACTTTTCATCTTAACTAACATGCAGGGTTTTGTTTTGTTTTGTTTTCTGAGACAAGAGTCTTGCTCTATTGCCCAGGCTGGAGTGCAGCGACACCATCTTGGGTCACTGCAACCTCTCCTTTCCCAGGTTCAAGCGATTCTCCCGTCTCAGCTTCTCAAGTAGCTGAGATTACAGGTGTTCGCCACAACGACCAGCTAATTATTTTACTTTTAAGTAGAGATAGGGTTTTGCCACGTTGGCCAGGCTGGTCTCAAACTCCTGACCTCAAGTGATCTGCCCACCTTGACTTCTCAAAGTGCTGGGATTACAAGAGAGAGGCAACATGCCAGGCCCTAACATATAGTTTATATTCTAACTTTTCTAATTGTCCTAGAAATGCCCGTTAGGGTTGGCTTATCCAAGCCAGGACACATATTGCGTCTATTTTTTATAGTCCTGGAGCCCCTTTTTAAAATTTTATTTATTTAATTAATTATTTATTTGTTTTTGAGGCAGAGTCTCGCTCTGTCACCCAAGCTGGAGTGCAGTGGCACAATCTTGATTCACTGCAACCTCCGCCTCCCAGGTTCCAGCAATCCTCCTGCCTCAGCCTCCCAAGTAGCTTGGATTATAGATGCCCACCACAATGCCAGGCTAATTTTTGTACTTTTAGTGGAGACAGAGTTTCGCCATGTTGGCCAGGCTGATCTCAAACTCTGGCCTCAGGTGATCCCCCTGCCTCGGCCTCCCAAAGTGCTGTGATTACAGGCATGAGCCATCATGCTTGGCCTCCTCTTCTTTTTAAATCTATTAACACCTTCACCTTCTTTTTATATTTCCTTTTATGGCATTGAGTTGTTGAAGAGACCTTGGCAGTTATATTGAAGAATATTCTACCTTCTAAGGATATGCCCCAAAGTAATTTAGCTTGTTCTTTTTTCCCAAATTTAATTCTAAATGGTTATTTGATTAAGAATATGTCATAGATGCAGTACACATTATCACATCAGAGGACATCTAGATAACTCACCATTAATGATGCCACTGAATTTAGCTCATGACAGTCTGATTCCCTGAAATATGGCTACTTATACCCCTTGGGACAGGAAAGTGATCTCTGTTGTTTTACTTTGGCTTCTTTCAAATCAAAACTCATTTTCTATCAAAACTGGTTTTCTATCAAAACTAATAGTCTTTACACAAATTGATCATCCTTAGCAGAGTTGGTGTTTAACTAGGAATTGAAAATTGCTGCTTTTTTAATGCTTTTAATTTAGAATGTAAAATTAAATAGAGTTATCATGGTTATCACTTATAGAGTACTTACAAAATGTCAGGGTTTGTACAACAGGCTAAGTAAGTACTGAGTCATTTAAACCTCATAGAAATCATATGAGGTAGGTAATATTTTGCTCATGTAGCCGATGAGGAAACTGAGACTATTACAATAAGACTATCACAGAAGTTAAAATGCAAACAACACAATAGCAGGAAAACAAATAACCTGATTTTTTTAATGGGCAAAGGATCTGAATAGACATTATTAAAACATTTTCAACATCACTAATCATGGAAGAAATGCAAATTAAACCACAGTGAGATACCAGTTCACAACTGCCAGAGTGGCTAATTTTAGAAAGATAAAAGACAAGTGCTGGCAAGGATGTGGAGAAAAGGGAAGCCTTGTACTCTGTTAGTGGGAATGTAAATTAGTGCAGTCATTATGGAAAACAGTATGTAGGTTTCTCAAAAACTAAAAATAGAGCTACCATATGATCCAGCAATGCCACTTCTGAGTATATATCCAAAAGAAATAAATTCAGTATATCAAAGGGATATCTGCACCCCCATATCCATTGAAGCATTGTTTACAATAGCCAAAATATGAAATCAACCCAAGTGTTCATCAACATATGAATGGATAAAGAAAATCTAGTGTATATACACAATGGAATACTATTCAGCCCTAAAGAAGAAGAAAATGTTAAACTGTTTCACTATAGTAACCATTACACTATCTACATATGTCTGTGTATCTATATGCATCAAATAACATCATGCTATAAAGTTCAAATACATGCAATAATTTTTTTTTAGAAAGAGAATAAAATTCTGTCATTTGCAACAACATGGGTGAACATGGAAAACATTAAGTGAAATAAGCTAGGCACAGAAAAATCAATACTGCTTGATCTCACTTATACGTGAATTTTTTCTTAGAAGTCGACATAGAACCAAAGAGTAGAATGGTGGTTATTAGAGACTGGGGAGAAGGGTGCAGGAGAGGGATTGGGAAGATGTTGATTGAAGAGTACAAAGTTTCGGTTAGTCGGGAGGAATAAGTTTTCAAGATCCATTGCATAACATAGTGATCATAGTTTATAATAATATATTGTACATTTCAAAATTGCTATGAGTAGATTTTAAATATTCTCACTACCAAAAAAATAAGTATGTGAAATGTTGGATATGTTAATTAGCTTGATGTCATTCTTTCAAAATATATACATATGTCAAAATTTCACATTGTACCCCATAAATATATACAATTATTTTTCATGAATTTAAAATTTAAATTAAAGCAGTTAAGAAATGTTTTCTTTTTTTCCTTTTTATTTATTTATTTATTTATTTTTATTATTATACTTTAAGTTTTAGGGTACATGTGCACATTGTGCAGGTTAGTTACATATGTATACATGTGCCATGCTGGTGTGCTGCACCCACTAACTCGTCATCTAGCATTAGGTATATCTCCCACTGCTATCCCTCCCCCCTCCCCCCACTTTCTTATTCACATTTCATTAATGCTGGAAGTAGGATCCAAACCCACTGTTTATCTGACTGCAAAGACTATGATATTTACTAGTAAGTGATATCACTTCCCAAGCTACAAATATTTTATGTTTCATTTAAAAATGATATTAATAATAATAATGTTAAAAATGACATCAATTAAATATAACCATGAATTTCCAGAAAATAGCCTACTCTATCAAATGGAAGTAGTTTAAGCTTACATATCTCAGCCTTCTGCCTCTCATTCTCATTCTTTAGCACTCAGTTTCTAAAATCTCTTTGGTTAAATTTAATAATTTTAGCTTCTTTTTAAAATTTAAAATTGGGTTAGGGTAGAGGACAGAAGAAATATTAGCTACCTTGTGAGAAAATCTTTGTTTGATTTTGTTCCCTCTTGATAAGCAATGAACACCGACTTGTGACAAAATCAAATAACTGCTTGGGGAGTGTATTCATTTCCCTATGGTTTCCTGGAAAATCTTCCTATTTGCCTCATTCATTTGAATATAGAATGTTAAAGGATTTTATTATTCCCATGAAACCCCTTGAGGTTTGTTGACAATTTTTATGAAATATTGAGTAAGTACAAAATAACATTTATGATATAGGTGCAAGGCACAGTGAATACTTATTTAAAGAAAATACCTGCTCTTCTATCATTCAGTTTAAGAAAACTACAGTTATACCTCCCGTATGAACCTCTCCAGATGATGTCTTCCACTTCTCCCTGTACCAGAGATAGTTAGCCTTGTCAATTTTTGACATTATTAAACATTCTAACATTTTCCCATCTTATGTGTCAAATATTACCATATCATGATATTGTTAGTGAGGTACTCATGATATGATATGTTGGTTTTTTTTTCCAGGAAGGAAGGGCTTTTTTGAAATACTTTTATTTTAAGTTCAGGGGTATATGTGCAGGTTTGTTACATAAGTAAACTTGAGTTATGGGGGTTTGTTGTATAGATTATTTCATTACCCAGGTATTAAGCCTAGTACCCATTGGTTATTTTTCCTGATTCTCTCCCTCCTCACACCTTTCACCCTCTGATAGGCCCCAGTGTGCATTGTTCCCCTCTATGTGTCGATGTGCTCTCATCATTTAGCTCCCACTTATACGTAAGAACATGTGATATTTGGTTTACTGTTTCTGTGTTAGTTTGCTAAGGAGAACAGCCTCCAGCTCCATCCATGTACCTGCAAAATACATGATCTCATTCTTTTTTATGGCTGCATAATATTGCATGGCATATATGTACCACATTTTCTTTATCCAATCTGTCATTGATGGGCATTTAGATTGGTTCCACGTCTTTGTTCTTGTTAAAAGTTCTGCAGTGAACATTTGCATGTATGCGTCTTTATGGTAAAATGATTTCTATTGCATTGGGTCTATACCAAATAATGGGATCACTGGGTCAAATGGTAGCTGCTTTTAGCTCTTTGAGGAATCACCACACTGCTTTCCACAATGGTTGAACTAATTTACTCTCCCACCAAGAATCTATAAGGGTTCCCTTTCTCTGTAACCTTGCCAGCATCTGTTCTTTTTTGGCTTTTAATTAATAATCATTCTGACGGGTATGAGATGGCATCTCAATATGGTTTTGATTTGCATTTCTCTATTAATCAGTGATTTTGAGGTTTCTTTCATATGCTTATTGGCCATGTGTATGTCTTCTTTTGAAAAGTGTCCATTCATGTCCTTTGCCCACTTTTTAATGGGGTTGTTTGTTTTTTGCTGTGCAGAAACTCTTTAGTTTAATTAGATCCCATTTTTCCATTTATGCTTTTGTTATTATTGCTTTTGGGATCTTTGTCATGAAATCTTTGCCTGTTCTTCTATGTCCAGAATGGTATTACCTAGATTGTCTTCAAAGGTTTTTATAGTTTTGAGTGTTACATGCAAGTCTTTAATCCATCTTGAGTTGATTTTTGTATATGGTGTAAAGAAGGGGTCTAATTTCCGTCTTCTGCATACGGCAACTCAGCTATCACAGAACCATTTATTGAATAGGGAGTCATTTCCCCATTTATTGTTTTTTGTCAGCTTTGTTGAAGATCAGGTGGTCATAGATGTGCAGCCTTATATCTGGATTCTCTATTATATTCCATTGGTCTATGTGTCCATTTTTGTACCAGTACCATGATGTTTTGGTTACTGTATCCTTGTAGTATAGTTTGAAATCAAGTAACATGATGCCTGCAGCTTTCTTCTTTTTGCTTAGGATTGCCTGGGCTATTCTGGCTCTCTTTTGGGTCCATATGAATATTAAGAGAGCTTTTTCTAGTTCTGTTAAGAATGTCATTGGTAGTTTGATAGGAATAGCATTGAATCTATAAATTGCTTTGGGCAGTACAGCCATTTTAATGATACTGGTTTTTCCTATTCATGAGCATGGGATGTTTTTCCATTTGTTTATGCTGTCTCTGACTTCTTTGAGCAGCATTTTGTAATTCTCAATGTAGAGATCGTTCATCTCCCTGGTTAGCTGTATTCCTAGGTATTTTATTCTTTTTGTGGCTATTGTGAATGAACTTGCATTTCTGATTTGACTCTCGTCTTGGCTGTTGTTGATGTATAGGAATGCCAGTTTTTTTGTGCATTGATTTTGTATGCTGAAACTTTGCTGAAGTTGTTTATCAGCTGAAGGAGCTTTGAGGCTGAGACTGTGGAGTTTTCTAGATATAGAATCATGTTGTCTTCAAAGAGGGATAGTTTGACTTCCTTTTTTCCTTTTTGGATGCCCCATTGCTCTAACCAGGACTTCCAATACTATGTTCAATATGAGTAGTGAAGGAGGACATCCTTATCTTTTGCTGGTTTTCAGGGGGAATGCTTCCAGCTTTTCTCCATTCAGTACAATCTTGGCTGTGGGTTTGTCATAGATGGCTGTTATTATTTTCAGATATGTTCCTTCAATACCTAGTTTATTAAGAGTTTTTAACATGATGGGATGTTGAATTTTATTGAAAGCCTTTTCTGTGTCTGTTAAAATAATCATATGGTTTTTGTCTTTAGTTCTACTTATATGATGAGTTACATTTATTGATTTTTGTATGTTGAACCCAACTTGCATCTCGAGGATGAGTGTGATGGATTAGCTTTCTGATGTGCTGCTGGATTTGGTTTGCAAATATTTTATTATTTTTGCATCTATGATCATCAAGGATATTGGCCTGAAGTTTTCTTTTTTGTTGTGTCTATACCAGGCTTTGGTATCAGGATGATGCTGGCCTCATAGAATAAGTTGAGGAAGAGTCCCTCTTCCTCTATTTTTTGGAATAATTTCAGTAGGAATGGCACCAGCTCTTCTTTGTACATCCAGTAGAATGTGGCCATGAATCCACCTGGTTCTGGACTTTTTGTGGTTGGTAGGCTATTTATAACTGATTCAGTTTCAGAGCTCATTATTGGTCTGTTTAGGAAATCAATTTCTTACTGGTTCAGTCTTGGGAGGTTGTATGTCTGTCCAGAAATTTGTCCATCTCTTCTAGGTTTTCCAGTTTGTGTGCATATAGGTGTTCATAGTGGTTTCTGGTTGTTATTTTTATGTCTGTAGGGTCAGTGATAACATCCCCTTTGTCATTTCTAATTGTGTTTATTTGGATTTTCTCTGCTTTCATCTTTATTTGTCTTATTGACTGCTAGATAGCTAACAGTCTATCTTATTAATTAAAATTGTTGCTCTTTTTAATCGGTTTTTGTGTCTTGATTTCCTTCAGTTCAGCTCTGATTTATATTATTTCTTGTCTTCTACCAGCTTTGGGGTTGGTTTGCTCGTGATTCTCTAATTCTTCCATTTGTGATGTTAGGTTGGTAGTTTGAGGCCTTTCTAACTTTTTGATTTGAGGATTTAGTGCTATGAATTTCCCTTGTAACACTGCCTCAGCTGTGTCCCAGAGATTCTGGTACGTAGTATCTTTGTTTCAAAGAACTTCTTTATTTCTGCCTTAATTTTGTTATTTATCCAAATGTCATTTAGGAGTATGATGTTTAATTTCCATGTAATTGCATGGTTTTGAGTGATATTTTTAGTATTGATTTCTATTTTCATTGTGTTGTTGTCTGAAAGTATGTTTGGTATGATTTTCATTCTTTTGCATTTGTTGAGGGTTGTTTTATGTATGATTATGTGGTCAATTTTAGAGTATGTGCCATGTGGTGATGAGAAGAATATACATTCTCTTGTTTTGGGGTGGAGACTTCTGTAGAGGTCTCTCAGATCCATTTGGTCCAATGTTGATTTCAGGTCCTGAATATCTTTGTTAATTTTGGGGGTATCTAAGGCTCCCTGGGCTCTGCATGTGCCTGAGCAGCTGCTCTGCCAAGACTTCACGTACCTCTGCATGTCAGACTGAAGGCCCTGAAGGAGTGAGTTCACACGTGGATATTCTGACCCAAGGGTTGCAAAGATCTGTGTTGGAAGGATGGGTTCCAGGGGTCACTCATCACTTCCCTGGGCATGGGAGGTTGCCTTGGCTCCATGTCATTCCTAGGTGGGCAGCCATCCTTCCTTGCTTTTCTCTGCTCTTGGTAGGTCGAGTTGTTTCCTTGATTAGTCCCACTGCATGTACCTAGATGTTTCAGTTGAAGGTGCTGTATTTACTTGCCCCTTCCATTCCTCTCTGTGAGAGTGGTGCACACTAGCTGCTTCTACTCAGCCATCATGACCAAACCCCAACATTCTTCACAGAAATGGAAAAAAAAAATCCAAATTTTTGTGGAAAAACAAACAAACCTGAATAGCCAAAGCAATCCTAAGGAGAAAGAACAAAGCTGGAGGCATCACACTACAAGACTTCACAATATGCTACAAAGCTGTAGTAACCAAAACAGCATAGTACTGGCATAAAAACAGACACATTGACCAACAGAATAGAACAGAGAAATCAGAAACTAATCCATGTGTTTACCTCCAACTGATTTTTGACAAAGGCACCAAGAATATATATTTTTTCATAAAGCAATTAAGGCTGTAATTTTCCCCCGTATAAAGTTTTGACTATATCCCATAAATTTTGATAAGAAGTTCCTACAACATTTTTATTGCTGAATGTATTCTAACTTCCATTTTTGTTTCTTCTTCATCACATGAGTTATGTATGTAGAAGTTGGTATTAAAATTTTAAAATATATGGAGTGTTCATATACCCTTTGAAGATAAAATCTCTGAAATTTGCTGTTATCTGGAGCAGGAGCTTTCTAGGAAAGTGAAAGACCCTGGGTTAGAAAGTAGCTGGTGTATTCAAGGAACAGCAAGAAATTCAGTGTGGCTGGAGGAGAGTCTACAAAAGAATAGAAAATGTAATCAGAAGAGTAACACAGAGCGGGTTCTTATAAGGCCTCGAAGATCAGTTAAAGCCTTGACATTTACTCTAAGATAAGGAATACTAGAAGGATTTTAGGCAATTCTGCATTTGAGCAGGATCATTCTGTTAAGAGTAGACAGGACTGGTAAGTGCAGAAGCTCAGATACCAATTAGAAGCACTTTTACAAAAATCTAGATAATAAATGTTCGAGGCTTTGACCAGGAGTGGCAGTGAGTAGAGTGATTTATATAGTTTGGATGTTTGTCCCCTCCAAATCTTATGTTGAAATGTGACCTCCAGTGTTAGAGGTGGGGCCTGATGGGAGGTTATTGGATCATGGGCATGGATGACTCATGAATGGTTTAATGTCATCCCCTTAGTTATAAGTGAGTTCTCCCTCAGTTAGTTCATGCAAGATCTGGTTGTTTAAAAGAGTGTGGCACCTTCCTCCACTCTTGCTCCCACTCTTGTCTTGTGGGATATCAGCTTTCTTTCCATTCCACCATGATGGTAAGCTTCCTGAGGCCTCACCAGAAGCTGAGCAGATGTCAGCACTATGCTTCCTGTACAGCCTACAGAATCATGAGCCAATTAAACCTCTTCTCTGTATAAATTACTTTGTCTCAGGTATTCTTTTATAGCCATGAAAGAATGGACTAACACAGTGATGAAATATCAAATCATGGATATATTTTAAAGGCAGAACTGGTGAAAACTTCTGTCACACTAGATGGGTGTCATAGAAATAGAAGAGCCAAGGATGACAACAACGTTTTTAACTCAAAATCTGGAAGAACTTAGTTGTAATCAACTTAATTAGAGAAGACTTAGGCACTTCTGGAATTCAAGGGAGAGGTCAAGATTGGAGATATAAATTTGGGAATCATCAAATATGTAGAGTCATTTGACTAGTGTAGGTTACCTATGTAGTAGTTAGTGTAAATAAAAAAGAGAGGATGTCCAACTACTATCTCCTTGACAATCCAATATTTAGATGTAGAGGAGATGAAGGGGAGTGAGCAAAAGACAATGAGAACAAGTGACTGTAAAGGTAAGAGGAAAACTAGGCGAGCGTGTTGTGGAAGGTCAAGTGGAGAACATGTTTCAAGATGGACACTATGATCAACTATGACAAATGTTCCTTGTAAGTCAAGATGAGGATAGAGAAATGATTACCAGCAATGGAATTTCACTGCTAATCTTGATAAAGTGCAGTTTTAGTGGAATGGTGTGATGGGAACATGATTGCAATGAATTCAAAGAGAATGAGAGGAGAGCACAAGCATGGACAACTATTTTAAAGAGTCCTTAAATTTTTTAAAGGGAAGATAAAAGATTATGTGATAGCTAGAGGGAGATATGAAAAGAGAAGAGCATTTGATGATGGTAGCATTAACAAATCATACTTGCTTGCTGATAGGCATGATCTAAGAAAAAGGAAAAAAAATGATGATGCAGGAGACAAGTGAGAGAATTGCTGGAGTATTATCCTTGAGTGAGTAAGTGAGAAAAGAATAGCGAGCCCAATGCAGAAGTTGTCCTTAGTGAAGAGCATGGAGTTTATTCAATATAACAGGAGGCAAAATATTATGTATACGAACCTCTATAGATACCTTTGTGGATGTGGTGGTTGGAGCTGTTGGAAATTTTTTTTCCTATTGCTTCCATTTTTTTAATGAAGAAAGAAAATAAGTCATCGGCTGATAATGAGGATAGGGAAGCCATGCACCACGTGTGAGGAGAGGGGAAAGAATGAGAAGTATGAGAAAGAGAAAATCAACTAGGAAAATAAATTATGATCGATGAGCAGCATGAAAAACCCTCTTAGTTTACTGATCATAAATGAAAATTAAGATTGGTAAATACGTTTTATTTCATTTTGTTTTTTGTGTTTTTGTTTTGTTTTGTTTTGTTCATTCTTAGTCACAGTCTGGGCACAAAATATGCAGAGTTGTATTTAATCGATGCTTTGGTTTCATAAAGTGAGTATGACAAAGAACAATAAAGTTAGAGTTTGTTAAACCCTGATCCTTTTCAAAAGTCTGTGGTTTGTGTTATGATATTTTTAAATTACAATTTCATTTACAATTATCATTAAATCCAAAGAAGAATTTTTGACATGATACATCTTCTTTATTAGTGAAAACTAAAACTCACATTATGGGAGATAAGAAAATTATTCTCAAAACTACTTTGAATCAGGATAGTAAAGCATAGTGATTGAAAATAAGTAACTTGCAGTGTGAATGGAAATTTCCATTTAATATGTCAGAAATAGCTTATATAGTAATAGTAATAAGTAATATAATCCCTTGAAATAAAGTAGAAATTTTAAGACACTATTAAAAAAAGATGCTTTTATGGGCTCATTTCTGTCTGAGCCAATATGAAGCTACAAATTGATTTGTTTTTTATCTCAGAAATAAAAATTAATTTTCTTTACAAAGAAATCAAGAAGTTAACATTCTTTTATCAGAATGCCAGAGTGCATCTTAAAGTAATGGCTGCTAGGAAGAATAGTTTTCTTTCAAGTAAGTGTTTATGGATAATATAAGGTATATACAAAATATATGTTAATTTATTTTATTTTAAAATGTATTATTCTCAGATACATGTTACACACCTCCTTAATATCCTCTTGACTTCTCTTGCCTCCTGGACCTTCCTCTCTATTTGCTTCACAGCATTTGGTCTCATGGTAATCCAACTCCAATCACACTCACACAATTCCTCCATCTAAAGCCAATTGACCACAGTCTAGGAGTATCCAGCTCTCCAAAAGCATCTTGATCCTGAGTGAAACACAAGAGAAAGAATAAAATCTAGCTTTTCAAGCAGCTGCTAAAGGGACCAAATAATGTAACCCAGAATTGCAGGGTAATTGACACCTCAGGTGGTGGACTTTGACAAATGGGGAGAGAAGACAAACAAGTCAATTATATAAGTTCTCTCTCCTTCCCTTCGATGTTCTATTCCCAGTCACAGTTTCTCCATAGACCCTGCCTGGAGATATCCTCTAAGGCATAGCAGGTGCACCTACCAAGTTGCCAACTGTGTCATTTGCATTACGTCAAGAAACATAATTAGCATGATACCACATCATCTTGCACTGTACATATCTTTCCCCGCCTCACTTGTTTGCCCTGATTCTCATTTCGTAGAATTGTACATCACAAATAAAGCCTCAGTACTTAATCCTTGCATCAGACTATTTTCAAGGAACCACAGGCTAAAAGGAGAACCAGAGTGTAAAGCACGTGTGCAGTTGAAATGTTCATAGAATCATCACCCAAGTTGAAACTTATAACATTACTTTAGAACCTTTTCTTTATGCCCTTCACCAAATACATAAGATAATCATTATATTTAATTTTATTGTAAACATGTCCATCTGCTTCTTTCCAGTTTTACTGGTTATATATGCATATTCCTAAGCAGTAACATTTTGTTTTGCCATTTTTGAAATCTATATATGTGGGATGATACATAATATATTTTGGGAATTTTCTCCTCTAAGTTTTACTTGTGAGATTCATTCATGTTGCTTCCATGTAGCTGTGGCTTATTAATTTTTGTTATTACATAGTACTATATTATATGAATAATTAAAAATTACTAATTCTACTGAAGAGTAGTTAGGTTTTTAATAGTTCTTTTTCTGTATAAGCATTTTTAGATATGTCTTCTAGGACAAAAATGCAAGAGTGCATCTAGGTTATACACCTATGAGTGGATATTCTAGTTCATAAGATATGGATGTGTTTTGCCATAAAAATATGAGAGTTTTTACTGCTCTGCATTTTCAACTATACTTGGTTTTCTATAGCTGTTCTATATATATTTTTTACCAGTCTGGTTGTTAGGTAATGATATCTCAATGTGGATTTAATTTGCATTTCCATTAAAATTAATGAAATTGAGTATATTTGTATTTTCTTTTCTATAGTGTTTATTAAAATCTTTTAACTATTTGAAAATTGTGTTTTTCTTAGCAATTTGTGAGATTTCCTTCATATTCTAGATATTAGTTATTTTTCATTAAAATATATGGCAAAGCACTTTTCCCAGTTGTTCTGTCTTTTCACTCTCTATGGGATGTCTTAATTTAAATGTTGGCCAAATTTATCAATGCTTTCCATTATAGTTTTTGTTTTTATGTGTCTCATGGCATAATCACTTCCACTCCTAAAATAACTTTTTACCTTTTCATCCACAGATTGTATGATTCTGTATTTTATATTTAGGTCTTTAGACACCAAAATTCATTTTGCTGTATGTCAGGTTTCTTTCCCCCTTTTTCTACTTCCTTCTTTCAGTTTATTTATTTAATGTAAATTTAGTCCTTTCCTCATTGATCTACAATAACATCTCTGCCATTATATCAAGTGTTCATATATTTAGAGTTTTTTCCTGGGCTTCTATTCTTTTTTATGGTTTAATTGTTTACCCCTAAAACTTCACATTATCAAACTTGCTATAGCTTTATAACATATACTACTGCTCTGTTATGAGACTATCCTGTTTTTTACTTTTTTACTTCCATATAAATTTAGAATCAATTTTACATGCTTCACAAAAAATTACTTATTGGCATTTTAATGGAATGCATTGAATCTATAGATCTGTTGGCCAAAAAATGACATTTTCTATTTATTCCCTTGTTCTATATTTATTTTTAAATATAAATAATTAGATAAAATAGATTTCTTATGTCAATAGTATTCTGTCTTTCATTTTTTGGTAAACAATGATTTCTGCTATAAATTGCTTTCTTATCACACATATTATTAAATATGATACCTTTATATCATTCTAATATTTTCTAATTTCCAGTATATTTTTTGATCAATGAATTATTTAGAATATGATTTTAGTACCCAAATTTATGAAATGTCTTAATTATCTTTTTACTATTTATTTCAAATTGAACAGCATTGTGATCAGAGAAAGTGATCTCATGACATCAGTTCTTAAGTATATTTTGATACTTAGTCTGTGGCCTAGTACACAGTTAATATTTGTAAATATTTTATGTATGCTTGAGAAGAATGCATATTTTCTGACTGTTGGGTTCAGGGTTCTACATATTTATTAGAACAAATTTATTTTTTGAAAGCTTTTATATCTCTATTTACTTTTTTCTGCTTTACTTGTATCAGTAACTGAAAGAAATACGTAAAAACAGAAAATCCTCCCACTATGATTACTAACTTGTCAATTTCTGCTATAATTCTTTCAACTTTTACTTTACCTGTTTTGATGGTATTTTGATAAGTACAGGTTTAAAATTATTATAGTTCACAGATTATTCACAAAATTATTTTATCATTATACTATGAAATAGTTTGTCATATTAATGCTTTTGTGTTAAATTTTATTTTTTATTTAATTACTATAGCTACATTGATTTCCTTTTTATTTGGCTTTTCTGCCCACAGTCAAGGCAACATAGACAAATTCCCTTCCATTTCTCCATGCTATTAGAGGTCTCGCATTTTATATCTGAGGACATAGCTTTTCAAACATCTAGGTCTCAATCTGCATCCCATCCTCCATCATGTGAAAACCCAGACTCATATTCTGCTCAATAGGATGTTAAGTCTCTTTTAAGAAAAAATAGCAAAACTCCATGGCATAGTCACTACATCAATTCTTATATTGAGCATTTTGCTTCTCAGTCTTCTCTTCATTTTTGTTATCTGATGTCTTATCTTACTTCTTTGTTAGCCTCAAAGTGCACTTAAAAGTAGGTTTATTGTGTTTTATCCAACATTTCTAGATATTCTAGGATGGGACATTCTCTGGTTATTGACGAAGCAGAACCCACTCATGGATGTCATCATATTGATGAACCCCATGAACATGATTCCATACTGGCTGCTGGCCAATAATTTCATGTCAGTTGCGTGAAAATAGTTTGTTCGACTTCCCTTATTTTTTAATTATCAGTGTAGAACAGAAACATAAATTACAGATGTCAAAACAGAAATGAGTAGAAAATAAATAAAATGTTATGAATATCTTATGTTCTTTTGTAATAATAAAAGTTTTAATGAGAATTTTGTTTTAAATAGATGTGCCTCATTTTTTTATTATACTTTAAGTTCTGGGATACATGTGCAGAATGTCCAGGTTTGTTACACAGGTATACATGTGCCATGGTGGCTATCTACACCCATCAACCCATTATCTAGGTTTTAAGCCCCGCATACATTACGTGTTTGTCCTAATGCTCTCCCTCCCCTTGCCCCCCACCCCCCAACAGGCCCCAGTGTGTGATATTCCCCTCCCTATGTCCATGTGTTCTTATTGTTCAACTCCCACTAATGAGTGAGAACATGCAGTGTTTGGTTTTCTGTGTTAGTTTGTTGAGAATGATGGTTTCCAGCTTCATCTATGTCCCTGCAAAGGACATGAACTCATTCTTTTTTATGGCTGCATGGTATTCCATGGTGTATATGTGCCACGTTTTCTTTATCCAGTCTTTCATTGATGGGTATTTGGGTTGGTTCAAGAAACTGTCATCAGAATGAACAGACAACCTACAGAATGGGAGAAAATTTTTGCAATCTATCCATCTGACAAAGGTCTAATATCCAGAATCTACAAGGAAGTTAAACAAATTTACAAGAAAACAAAAAAACAACAACCTTATCAAAAAGGGGCGGACAGATATGAACAGCCACTTATCAAAAGAAGACATTTATGTGGCCGACAAACATATGAAGAAACGCTCATCATCACTGGTGATTAGCGAAATGCAATTTTTTTTTTTTTAAAGACAAAGTCTCACTCTATCACCTAGGCTAGAGTGCAGTGACATGATCATAGCTCACTGCACCTTGAACTCTCAGTCTCAAGTGATCCTCCTACCTCAGCCTCCTGAGTAGTTGGGACCACAGGCATGTACCACCATGTCTAGCTAATTTATTTTTAATTTTTGTGGAAATGGGTATCTCCCTCATTTGCCCAGGCTCGTGTCAAATTCCTGGACTCAAGTGATCCTCCCTCCTCGGCCTTCCAAAATGCTGCGATAACAGACATGAGCCACTGCACCTGGCCTTTTTCTTTTCTTTCTTTTTTTTCTTTTTTTTGAGACAGGGTCTCTGTCACCCAGGCTGGAGTGCAGCGGCGTGGTCTTAGCTCACTGGAACCTCTGCCTCCCAAGCTCAAGCAATCCTCCTGCCTCAGCATCCCCAGTAGCTGGGACTACAAGCACCGTACCACCACGCCCAGCTAATTTTTTGTTTTTTGTAAAGGCGGGGTCTCTCTGTGTTGCCTAGGCTGGTCTCAAACTTCTGAGCTCAAGAAAGTTGCCCGCCTTAGCCTCCAAAATTGCTGGGATTACAGGCACGAGCCATGGTGCCTGGCCCTTTGTATTCTTATAAAGTGATGGAAGATGCCATTTTATAAAGTTTAAAATGTAGGGAAAAAAAAACTTATTTGGAATGCTTCTAAGATCTATATCTTCATAATAATACTATTTCTTTAATATATGAGCAAAAATCATTCATTTTAAGTGGCTTTCTATTAAAAAGGCATAAATTTCATGAAATATGAAAATGTTACATTGTTTTCTTTTTCTCAAAATGTTAATACTACATCACTTAAAAGAAGTATTTCTTTGAGAACATAAAATGATAGGAAGTCCTAAAAGATTCTAAAGTTCTGACAGCCAGGTCAAATAACACGATAGCAGAATTCATAAAAGACCATTCCATGATTTTCACTGGTTAAAGTTGAGGACAGAGTAGATCAACCTTTCCTACCTCTAAACTTTAGCCATATATTGTAGCCTAGTGAATATAGTAATAAATTCATTATTATATTCACTTTTTAAATTATTGATTATAATAATAAATTCAATATTAATATTATCAATATAATAAATTCATTATTATATCCACTGGGCCACAAAAGCTCAGTTTAAGGTTACTTCCCAGGCATTAATAAATACCACTTCCGGTGGCATTTATTAATCATATTAATTCTTGATTCTCACTGAGAAACTTGTTTTTGTGGTTTTTGGGTTAGTCTTTTTTAACTTGTATGCTTTCTTTTTTGTTTTTAACTTGCATGCTTTTTTTTTTCCTGATGTTAACATTTTTCCCCCAGCTTTAGTGAGGTAAAATTGACAATGCAAAATTCTGTATATTTAAGATGTGCAATGTTATATTTTGATATACATTTACATTGTTGAAATGATTACCACAATCAAGCTGATCAACATATCCATCACCTCATATAGTTAATTTTTTGTGTGTGCATGGTGAGAATTCTTATACTTCTACCAAATCTGTATGAAAGTTTCTATTGTTCTGTATCCTTGCTAATACTTGACATTGTCAGAGTTCATAAAATCTCAGCCCTTCTCGTGAAGTCTACTGGAATCTCATTGTGGTTTTATTTTACATTTCCCAACTACTATTTTAAAAAGTAGTAATACATACTTTGTTGTCTATTTAAGGCATACATGGATATTCCCTTTTACAAAATGCCTGTTCAAACTTGTTGCCTATCATTGTTCTAGAGGACTTTTTTCATTATTGATTATAAGATGAATTATTTATTAATTATGAACCATTTTTTAGTTATATGGGTTGTAAATATCTTCTATTATTTGGCTTGATAGTCACTCTCTTAAAGGACTAATTTAAGGAATAGGCTTTGCTTTTTATGTAGCCAAAATTATCAGTTTTTTCCTTTGTGGATAGAGCTTTTTCTCGTCTTTAACAGTATTTTTCTAATCCTCCAGTACAATATTGAAGCTAAACGGTAATAGTGAACATCCTTGTTTCACTTCCAAAATAAAAACTATCATCATTTTTCCATTAAGTATGATATTGGCATTAGGGATTTTGGTGTGGTTGGTTGTTTATGTATTTGTTTGGATACTCTTTTATATTAATAAAATTCCCTTCTATTCTTAATTTTATAAGAGCTTTTTTCATGAACAATTCTTTAATTCTATTGAAAGCTTTTCCGCAGTTTTTTTTAAGCAACTATGATATTTTTCTCCCTAATTTTATAATAGGGAAGTTTTTTAGGGACTCGTTTAGAGAATGTTTAATATTGAACAAACTTTATGTTCATGGAAAATATAGCCATCCTTTCACAAGCATGGAATCTTCATCATATGTTGCTGAATTCAGTTTCTTGCTATTTTGGTTAGAATTCTATTAATGTTCATGAGCCAAATTACTGTAATGTACATGAATCAGTAATTTTCTTGTCAGGATATGTTATCAAAGTCATGTTGACCTCATAAAATGAGTTAGCGGGTGCTTCATCCTTTTCAAATCTCTGGAAGACTAGAAGTCTCTGGAAGAATTTGTGTATGTTTGTTATTGTTTTTTCCTTAAATATCAAAAGCTGCCTTCTCTATGGAACTATGCCCTTAAGATTTTGGTCACCTCAGCCTTCCTAAAATCCAATCTCTGTCTCCTAGTCTAAGCAAGATGGGTGTGAACAGCTTGCCATGCCCTTCCTAGCAGGAAAGTCTCTATTATGGTCTCTGTTAGTGCTGTCATGGCCAGGAGCAGAAGTCACTACATGGACATATTGTGTAAACGAATTTTAAAAAAGCAAAACCCAAAGAAAGCAATAATAATAAAAAAGAAGCAGCAGTCATAATGTGATTGAGGTTATTTTGTACCTTAGATCTTTGTCAAGAAAATTATCATATTAATATTGGAAATTAGCCTTCTTTCTTTTTATTTTGTAAACAAAAACATGTATTGTCTATTTCATCCACTGTCTCAGATCTTCTAGCACAGGAATAAGCAATTTAATCTTCTAATAGTTATGATATTTTGATTGTTTTATTTTATATAATCCCATTGGTTTTTTGTCCTTTCTTAAGGCCTTTGGTGTTTTTAAAAAACTTTTTTTTTTTTTTAGAGAGAAGCTGGAAATTGTTTAGAAATTATAATTTTTAAATCTTTTACTATTTTTGATAGTTTTTTTCTCAAATTAAATTCAGTAATTTATAGTTTTCACTAATGAAATTAGAGTCTTCCATACATTTAGAATTTATATTTTAAAACATATTTTTACTAATTGTAAAATAATACATACTTTTGAATACAATATTAAGACTGAACTGAAAATTTTGTCTTAATTCTTTTCTGATTTATTGTTATGACTATTCTCTTTTCAAATATACTTTCTGCATTTTCTCTCTAACTTCATTAGATTCATTAGAATATATTATTTGACATTCCATGCGTTTAAGAAGAATCAGCTCTTAGAATTATTCATCATTTAATATGCATTTATATTTATTACTTATTTTTTCTTTCTATTTCTCACATCTGCTTTTTAAAAATTCTTCTGATTCTTCTTTTTATGCTGTCTATTTTTATTTTTTTCTATTTAGATATTGAAAACATTTTCACTATAAATTTACTTTTGGCCAGGCGTGATGGCTCACACCTGTAATCCCAGCACTTTGGGAGGCCAACATGGGCAGATCACGAGGTCAGGAGATCAAGACCATCCTGGCCAACCCCGTCATCTACTAAAACCGTGTCATCTGTGGTGAAACCCTGTCTCTACTAAAATACAAAAATAATTAGCTGGGTGTGGTGGTGTGCACCTGTAGTCCCAGCTACTTGGGAGGCTGAGGCAGGGGGATCACTTGAACCCAGGAGGCAGAGGTTGCAGTGAGCCAAGATCACGTCACTGCACTCCAGCCTGGTGACAGAGCAAGACTCCAGATTGAAGGAAAACAGTATGTGTGTGACATTTATGTGTTCTCTTTGACTCTTCAGTAAAACCAAAAGATGCTAGGGCTCACAGCAATGATCTTTGTGTTCTTCTTTGTATCGTAGGAGATCTTTTATTGCTGTGTCCACAGACTGCTAATTGTTTTATAAGGTCTCTTGAACTCTTGCACAGTGATAAACATTTTTTAACTGGATTACATTTCCCATTCTTCCTTGAAGTTAGGTTTGGCCATGTACCTAAATTCTGGCCAAAGGAATTTAAGAAGAAAAGAGGTGTGTAACTTTAAGGTTAACCAATAAAAACAAAATGCTGTGCCTTTTACTTTACTGTTTCCCACAGCTAGAATGTGGACATTTTGCCAGAGTTGGAGCAGACGTTTCGGATCGTGAAGTGGGAATAATCTTGATAAGTGGGATATTGGAGTAGTACCTGGTAAGTGAGCCTGGATCCCTGGCCTCCTCAGAGTCACCATGCTTTGCTTGGATTTTTCTGTAAGAGAAAAAAAATCCCCATCTTATTTAAACCACTGTTATTTTGGTCTTTCTCACAGAGTTGTACTGATGACCATTTTAATAAACTCTTTTATAATTCACTCGTCCTGAAATAAAACTTTCTTATAGAAACATAAAAGTAAGATATGATGCAAATCAGTGTATAAAATGCCATTATGAGAATGTTTTATGGTGTTCCATGTGACATTTCCAAAATAATTACTTCTAAGAAAATATTTTAAGAGCATTCTTATATCAAAAATAAAGATAAAAAAGAATTATTACATATCAATATTTAACATAAGAGCTTTTAAATTTAGTATAATCTTTTGAAATTACACTGGTCTTATTTTATTTTGTTCTTATTAATTTGTTCACTCTCAGAGAGGATACTTTTCCATGCTATATTATTGTCTTTTTATTTCTTTCTAGAAAACTATCATTGCAAGTATCTGAATTTAAGAAGAAGAATCACGGAGGTAAAATGTCTATAAATGTTTTCTTAAGATGTGAAAATACTCCCAAAAGGGCTAAATGAGATTTTAAAAAATCAGGTAGAAGTTAATTATAATTTTTATTTGTTTGACAAGCTATCTATACTTTCCATTTCATGGTACAGGTAGACAATAATAATATATGCACAGAAGACTATTGTAGATGGAAAAAGCTGCTTTAGCTGGAGGGCTCATAGAGCTCTTGCCACCCCAAGACCCCACCCATCAACTTAGACTAAGGAATCCTCTCTAGGCACACTGGTAACCCATTGATATGGTTTGGCTCCATGTTCCCATCCAAATCTCACCTTGAATTGTAATAATCCTCACATGTCATGGGAGACACCCGGTGGGAGGTGATTGACTCATGAGGGCAAGTTTTTCCTGTGCTGTTCTCATGATAATGAGTAAGTTTCATGAGACCTGATGGTTTTATAAAGGGGCTTTCCCTTGCAAATGCTCTCTTGCCTGCCACCAGGTAAGACGTCCCTTTGCTCTTTCTTTATCTTCTGCCATGACTGAGAGGCCTCCCCAGCCATGTGGAACTGTGAGTCCATTAAACCTCTTTTGTTTATCAATTACCCAGGCTTAGTTGTGTCTTTATTAGCAGTGTGAGAACAGAGCAATACACCAATTTTTGGTGCAGCATTTAGCACTGGTTAGAAAACCCTGGTTTAAGGCACTGAGGACTAAGTGGTGAGAAAATCACTCCAAAAACAAAAGTCATTTTAACAGGAAATTGGATGAATTGAAACAAAGACAGAATCATTTAAAGCATATTGTTCATGCACCCTCCCAGAGTAGAAACATTGAGAAAATTAAATTTACAAAATGTTATTGTATCATCACCCATTAGCATTTTTCGAACAATGCAACATTAAGGGAATAAGGACATATGACTTTATACTACAAATGTTTATTCCCTAAAGATGCATTCACTTTGTGTGGTTCATATAATCCTGAGATTTTTGTGACATTTCAAGTATGTGGTAAGCACAATAATTAAAATTCTATGTTGACATTTTCATGTTTTTAATGAATTTCTTCCTCAATTTATTTGAAATGTACATGTAATAAATAGGAATTTACTATGAGTCAAGCTCTGAAATTTAAAGAAGTCACAAGTCTTACTTGTGTTCTTGACTTAAACACTGAGCCAGTTTTACAGATTCGAGACATTATGTCCAATAATGAGCTCCTCACACAATAAAGATATATTTATATCTTTAAAAAATTGAAGAGAATGTAAATGTGTATTCAGGCAGGGTGACAGCGTAGTAATAAGAGATTCACATAGGCTCAAACAAGCCTTTATGAAACTATTATATAAACATAATTGTCACTTTATTATAAATGAAAGTCATAATGTAATCATGATGGATGTCATTTAATGATACCCTGCTGGTCCTTGACAAACACTAGCTTAAAACAACCCTTTAAGGTAAGTTTATTATCCCTATTTTACAGATGAGAACATGAGGTTTGGAGAGGTTAAGTAACTCCCCCATGGTCACTGAATTAGTTGTAAACTAATTTACAATTAGTCCACTAACTTTGATGTGCTAGGAATATCACAGCTCTATCACAGCTTCTTTAAATCCAATTAATTTTGTATCTGAGCCCCCATCACACTGAGCTAAAGGAAATTGCACCCAAGTCTTTCTTGGCTTCCCCCAGAGAGATAGCCAAGGTGTGGGTCCCTTCTGTTATCAGATATTTTCTGCACAAGGTATCATAAACTCTTCTGAAAAGTGCACCAGGAAGAAGGAACAGAGGCATACTCCTTCTAGACTCAGCATGACGTCTGTCTCTTCTATCCAGGGCTTTGTTTCCACCCTCAAAAAAGCCTTTCCTTTGTCCCATAAATTCAGTTCTTTTAATAAGAATACTTTATGGGGTAAAAATCCAGGACTTCTAGCCAACTAATCCATTTCACCCTGTGCATTCCTCTTTGGGACAATGAAATACAAGTCAAGTTGCTTACATGGTGGTATAAAAATCGAGGGAGAAAAAATATATTAAGTATTCTTAAACAAAATTTAACAGTTAAAAATATTATTCAGCTATAGCATGTTTTCCCCAGAGTACAACTAGAGGTTATTAAAACATAGCAATATTGTGTTATCTAGAGTCTGACCGTAAGCATCACACAGGCGGAACAAGATGAATTACCACCACCAGCATGACTCACTCCTCACCCAACCACATCCCCACATAGGAGAACTAAATAATTTCATCCTACTCTAATAAGAAATATATTTCTTATCCAAATGTTAAAAGCCTTTTTTAGGACAATAGAAACTTTCATTATAGGGCAACACAGCTCCTTTGCAGAGTGAAAAAGGAATTAGAGGCTGTTGTACACAATGGCAATACTTTGCTGTTTATGGGAATGTTTCTATCTTAACACAGGGTTAAATATTACCTCCCTTCTTTTTTTAAAAGAAAAGTGATGACTGGCCTTGGGAAAAGTGCTGCACTTGGACTCCCCTAACTAACATAATAGACTCAATAGATAAGCAAGGAGTTGTACCTATTATCATGCCTGTTAGAATATTTAAAAAGATGTACAATTTCCAGAATGCATGTCATGGGAAAGCACCCCTCTCTGATTTGTAGCTGGAGTATTCCTGAGAGGCATCTCAGTGGAAGCCTCCAAACACGGTTGTGCAAAAAAGCCTACATAAAATTACCAAGGGCTGTCTGCCTCCTAAACACCATATTTAGAAATAATGAAATGCTAGTGTGAAGTATTAGGTCTGAGGACCAAGATCCTGTCCAGAGACTGGGATGAGTTTCCCGTGCATAGAGATTCACAAAGAGAACTTTGGCGGGTGGGGCTTGGGGGAAGACTGAGAAGCTGAGGAGGGGTGGGTTAGACATCTCCATAATGCTTCCTTGTCCTTGGATGATTTCCCATTGGGAGCTTGGGGAAAGTTCAAGTTGTCAAGAACTTTAACTCTTCATTCTCAAATTGTTACTCTATCGATAAAGAGGCAAACTGGTAAGAGAAATGAAGCGGGTTCCACTTTCTTCCGTTTTCCGCTCTCCTGCAGAGAAGAAAGATGTATTTCAGGAGATCTATTGCTTGGTGTGAGAGTTGCCTACTAGCAAGTGGTCAGCATGCAGTGATGCTGGAAAGAGTGAAGAGGAACCACAAGTTCTAAGCACTAAGGCGAAGTGCCAGAGAGAAAGACTGAACCTCCTGCTTATTCACCCCATTTAGAAAAAGCTGTCTTCTCATTTATGCAGCCACCAGACACCTGAAAAAATGCTCATCATCACTGGTCACCAGAGAAATGCAAATCAAAACCACAATGAGATACCATCTCATGCCAGTTAGAATGTGGAGGATGTGGAGAAATAGGAATGCTTTTACACTGTTGGTGGGGGTGTAAATTAGTTCAACCATTGTGGAAGACAGTGTGGCGATTCTTCAAGGATCTAGAACTAGAAATACCATTTGACCCAGCGATCCTATTACTGGGTATATACCCAAAGGATTATAAAATATGCTATTATAAAGACACATGCACATGTATGTTTATTGCAGCACTATTCACAATATCAAAGACTTGGAACCAACCCAAATGTCCATCAGTGATAGACTGGATTAAGAAAATGTGGCACATATACACCATGGAATACTATGCAGCCTTAAAAAAGATGAGTTCATGTCCTTTGCACGCACATGGATGAAGCTGGAAACCATCATTCTCAGCAAACTATCACAAGGACAGAAAACCAAACACCACATGTTCTCACTCATAGGTGGGAATTGAACAATGAGAACACATGGACACATGGAGGGGAACATCACACACCGGGGCCTGTCAGGAGGTGGGGGGCTGGGGGAGGGATAGCATTAGGAGAAATACGTAATGTAAATGATGAGTTGATGGGTGCAGCAAGCCAACATGGCACATGTATACCTATGTGACAAACCTGCACTTTGTGCACATGTACCCTAGAACTTAAAGTATAATTTAAAAAAAAAGAAAAAGCTGTCCTCTGAAGAAAGGTACACACAAAAAGGGGATGGAAATCAAAGCTGCACTTATTTGTGCAAAGATTTATCAGCAATTAATTGTAACTTTGTTACTTTACAATTTTAACAAAACATATTCAGCACCTCCTATATGCCAGACACTGTGGTTAAACAGACAATTTTATTAAAAATCATCTCTGTTCTACAGATATTAATATTCTGTAGAACATGGTCAAATAAACAGAAAGTATGATACAATAAGTACTGTGATAGATGTCTGTACACGTTGCTATGGTAGCACATATGAGGGTAATCTCATTAGGCTGGGGAAAATTGTGGAAGGCTCAACAGAGGAGATGATACCTCTGCTGAGCCTTCAAGAAGGAGTACAATTTATCCAAACAAAATCTGTGCACGAGGAAGGTAAGAAGAAGTGAGGGCAATAGTTGAAAATAGTGCGTGCACCATGTAAAGGCATAGAAGAAAAATAGTGACATAAGTGGAGAACTGAATGTTCTCATTATGATGGAGTGTATTTGTAGGATTGGAGAATAGGGAGAGATGAAGCTGGAGAACTGGTCAGGGATCAGGTTGTGAATAAACTGTTAAGCCATGGTAAGGATTTTGGACTTTAATTTATAGTCATGCAGGGGCTCGCATATCAAAAAGGTGACTCTACCAGAAATATAAAGAATGTATTAGAAGAGAATGAAAGTTGCTAAGAGTGCTGTAATGTGTAAAAAAATCGAGGAGAAATTATGAATATTTGGATCATAGACAGTAACTATTGGAGCAGACAAAAGGGTGCAGACTGGAGAAAGATTAAAGAAGTGAAATTGATAGGAACTGGTGGTTGATTAGATATGGGTAGTAAAACAGTTAGGAGACACAGATTGACCCTCAGATTCATGCAGTTTTAGCAGATGCATAGAAAATTAATTGAATGAAAATGAGTAGCTTAATTTGAACATGTTGCATTTGATGGACTTGTATTATGTGTATGTATGGCCAAAATAAGGTGTAACATGAAAACTACTGAAAGACTGCCTGTACAAACAGACCATGGCCAGACCATGCATGGCAATACAACTCTGACCCACAACCTCTGCAGCAACCAGTCCAGGAAGACAAATTGCAACCTCTACAGCAATAAGCCCAGAATAGTCAGGACTTGGTCACCACCTACCAGTCTCTCTATTTATTACCCCCACTTCAAACTTAGGACTAACCAGCCAAGTACGCTCCCCAAACCACTGCCACCTGAATTCACAGGTTCCAGTCCCTGGAAGTACTGTAAGTAAACATATAGGCTATGTCTTGCCATGAAAGAGAATATAATGAACCCCTTTGTGCTCAAAGAAGGATGACCAAGCACGGCAGGGTTAGAAAGAGCAGCCCCTCATCCAGGAGAGGGAGGGGTGGGGAGAGGAGCAATCAGTCCTTTTGTGCTGAGATGGTTCAAAAGGAAAAGCTTCTCTGGCCTGGAAATTTGAACTCTAGAGAAGGCAAAGGGGCAGGGCTTCCTGGTCAGTAAGTGAAGGAACATTGTTCCTAGTTTGGGCCCAGCAGTCCTTTGGGAAGCTGGGGTTCTCAAAGATTAATGCTTGTGGAACTGAAGGGCTAAGCTTAAGAACATCCTTGGCTGAAGACAACTCATGGGGAGTGGGATTACACTTCCCCAAAAGACTCAAGCTGTCTGACAGGGCTCTGGATGGCACCTCCTCCTAGGAGGCTGCTTGAAGTCAGGAGAAGGAATGACTACTACTGCAGATGAGTGCTCCATGCTTCAATGTCAACTTCAGAATTTTGGATTTCCCTGAATCAGTTGAGGGAGGGCAAATAGCCCCTTTACTTATTTAGCTGGTAGCTTGTTTATTTACTTAACAAATACAGTACAGCATTACTACATATAGATACTTTCAAGTGCTTTATGAATATGAACTCATTTAATTCTCGAAATTGTATGAGGCAGTGCTATTTTTATATCCAATTCTTAGATGAGTAAAGTGAGGCACAGACAGGCAGAATACTATGCCAAAAGTTAGGCTCCTGGGAGGTGATAGAGACAGTATTCAATCCCAGGCAGTTTGTCCAGATTTCACGCTTTCAACCATTAGCAATTGATTTATTTATTATCCTCTGTTGGGAAAATAACAGCAGTGTCAGAAATTATCCCCCATTCTGCAGCGAATTTCATACCAGCTACATTTCACTTAATCCTTACAACAATTCTGTGTGATGGGGGATTCTCATCTTCAATTTATAGATGAGGAAATAAGCTCAACGGCTCATCCAAGGTTATATAGGCAGAGGGGCAGAGCCAGTCAAACACAGGTTGTCTAATGCCAGTCAAGGGTTCTTTATACCACATTGTCAGTTAGTAGAAAGGTCTAGGGGAAGTAAGTGAGGAGATTGCAAAATCATCTTAAAAAAAAAAAAAAAGAAAAATCATGATTCAGACCTGCCTGACTTGCTGACTACACATCAGCTTTCATAACATATCACAATCAGCCTCACAGTGGAAAATGAGTCAATTTCTATATACTGTGGCTTTCTCAAAAACCTCTCAAGGGAACTGTAAGAATTTGCTGAATTCATATTGCAATTCAGCCCATTATAAGAACTGTAAAGCAATTAGACTCAGAACCTGAAACTGCATATAGCTCATCAGCTTGGGAAGCAGAGATGGGTACATTATCTAGTTAAGTACCTCCAGTTACTCATCACTGTGTTATCTGTAACTTCAGAACATCAGTGAAACAAAAACTGCACAATTTCATAGTTTTCCATTGTATACAGAAATTTGCTAAGAAAGACTAATTGTGATGAGAACAGATCAAGAATAGTTCAACTATTTGAAATAAGTTTGATGGAATTAAAATCATTTCTTACATTAATCAGATTTCTTATAAAACTATTATCTTGATAGCATTGAAAAACAAGTTTATAGTATTAAAGTGTAAGCATTTCCATATCCTTTTCTTATTTTTATTCAATGTAGATGACTCAAGATTTTCAGTATCAAAATAGTCTTATCATGCTTGTTCTGAACTGGGTTTTCATATTGTAATATCTTGTTCCTGTTCCCTTTGCAGTCTCCAAATTTGTTTTCAATGCCAAAAGAAGTACTTGGTGGAATGGGTAAACGTGGTCATATTTTACATTAGCTAAATAATTATGAATTTAAAAATCATTAAATTGTATCTATAACCTGTGTAAAGAACAATATTCCTACTTTGGGAACTGTATTATAAAGATAATAAAGAACATACCATTATGAATGATACTTAAAGGTGTTCTAACTGAAGGCTAAAAATAGATACCTAGAGGTTTCTCAACAAAATACGAAGAAAAATTGGGTACTTGGGATTGGCAGAAACACTGAGAAAACCAGCTTCGGCAAAAATATAAACTATACTGAAAAGACAATAATGAGCTCATGAAAACAGAAAAAAAGGATGCAGCTGGGACTCAAAACAAACTGATGCTAGACTCAAACACCTGGATTCACCCCCCTTGCTCTGTCTCTCTCTGTGCATATTCTCCATTAACCTCTCCACAGCAGAATGATGTGCTCCACTTCCCAAAGGTCGTGATGGAAAATTGCCACTACAAACTGCCCCCAAGTGTATATGTGATATAGTTTGGCTGTGTCCCCACATAAATCTCATCTTGAATTGTAGCTCCCATAATTCCCACATGTTGTGGGATGGACCTGGTGGGAGGTAATTGAATGATGGCAGCAGTTTCCCCCATCTTCCCCCATTCACTACCACTCTTGGTAGTGAATAAGTCATACAGGACCTGATGGTTTTACAAGGGGTTCCCCCTTTCGCTTGGCTCTGGTTCTTGTTCTTTCTTGTCTGCCACTGTGTAAGATGTGCCTTTTGCCTTCCACCATGATTGTGAGGCCTCCCAGCCATGTGGAACTAAGTCCATTAAACCTCATTTTCTTTGTAAATTACCCAGTCTCGGGTATGTCTTTATCAGCAATGTGAAAATGGACTAATACAATATGTTCTCTGTTTACAAGAGTAGTCACACTAGGGTGAAATCTTTGATCCCAGAGCTATAGCCACCTGGACCCCAACGTAGCAGCTTCCTTGAATCAATGGGGATTGAGGAAGAGCTGTTTCCAAGATGGCAACACAAAAGGTGAGCCATATGAAATAGGCATCTACTTACTCTTCAAAGTTTGAAAAGAGAAAATGTTGTAAAGCAACTCTGGTAAGAACATCAAATTAAAACTTGGAAAAAAAATTACTTATCTAAACTACAGTACACATATTAGGGAATCTAAGCTCAGATTCAGTCAAACTCTGGAAGCATATACTATTACATATTGGAGAAATGTAGACTCAGTGAAAATGAAGAAGAGAAAGAACAATCTAAATAAAAAATAATATTCCCTATATTATATTCTTTAAAGCCTTAATCTTTATCTTTAAAGCCTTTTCCCATTCTCCCAACCCACTCAGCTTCCCGCTCCAGCTCCAAGTCCCTTTCCTAAGAAGAGCTATATATGCCTGAGAGACATTGCAAGGACATAGTATTCCTTGACTCTTCACTAATGCAAAATTCTAATGTAATAGTAAATCACTACTTTCAAAGAAATCCTACCCAGAAGTTAATAATATGTAAATGGCCTATCAAAGGTACTATAATGTGTGCAAAAGTAATGTATACAACACTTTAAACAAGAATTAGGATTTTGTTTTCCTGGAATAAAAAGATAGTATTCAAAATATGTAATACCAGTTATAATCTTCCATTCCAGAGAAGAAGAAACTGAATTTCTAATCCCTAACAAAAAAGCCCAAAGCATCTTATGCCAAACACAGTATTTGTTATTAGAAAATTTCAACTCTCAGGTCTACAAATATACAATTTAATAAAGAAGCTATTTGACACCATAATACCTGCAAGGACATAGTAGAGGGAGATGAAAATAATGTAAACCAAATAACATGCACAAAGTTCCATAAGAAAAATATATATTCTAGTGTCAACATGACAGGTTAAAGGTACATCCTTATAATAATGTGGTGTTACTTATCTACAAAACATTTCCTCCAGAACAACTAGAATTAGGGTCGTTTTTTTTTTCAAAGAAAAAACATAAAAAACACTTTTTAAAAGGTTGTAGAAAAGTACAACTTCAGTTATGTGACTGATAAATAAATATTCTGTAAATAAAGCTAAGGAAATGTTCAAATAAAAAATTAATTGGGAAAAAAATTGAGCATCTTATCCCAGATATGAACATGAGCTTCAGTCTTGGGCTGTGAGGCAGAAAATGTTAACAATGTTAGGAGCGTTTTTAGTGTTTCCTCAACAGTCAAGTGAATTTTAGAATTTAAACAATTACTAGAAAATTCAGTCTTCTGAAAACAAATTACATTTCTAACATCTAACCTAGAGGTGTTCTTTTTTGTTTTTGTTTTTGTTTTAAGTAGAACTCTTATTTTCTATAGAATAATTAGAATGTGATCAGAAAGTCTGCCCAGGTTTAATCTGGGAGATCAAGTCAATGCAGCATGTAGTAAACCGTTCTTTGGGTTTTAAAAATAAGGAAATTAATATATTGTTACATTTTCAAGACAGAAGATTATTGTGCCATATTAGAGTTGAGTATTCCCACTTCTATGAAATTTAAGTGTTACTATTTGTCTCTCTTACCTGAATGGAGCAGTATTAGGACAAGGATTTCTGTCTGTTTTTTTTTTTTTTTCCTGATGTACAACAGATGCCTAGAACAGAGACCAGTTGGCATGTAGTAGGCATCCAATAGATATTTGTCAAAGTAATTAATATCCTTTGAGTTTTGGATCAACTTCATTCTTCCTCAATGCAGTGTGCATGTATAATGTTTACATTTCTTCTCTACACACACATTTTAAAATTTTTAGTGGGTTTTTTATGGAAGTAAGCAGAAAAGTACAACTCATAAGCATTCAGTAATTTGTTATTGCTGGAATTCCTAAAGTTGTCTCAGTAAGTTGTTAACTGACAGTTATAGCATAAACAAAGAGTATTGGTTTTTCACGCTTCTAGGGAGCAAGCCATAAACTCATGCCTTTCTCTGCACTCAGGCAAAGCATAATGGTACCAGAACACTCACACAGTACTATAAAAATAAATAAATACTCATTAAAAGAGGCAGAAATATAGAAATATTTTATTCTAAAATGATAAAAAACATGTATCTCAAACAAACAGCTAATCTCATACTTCATTAACATTAATAAAAAATCAAGAATTCCCATCATTAAAAGTACTATCTGATGTGATTTGGGACATAATTAGCCAATGAAATTTGATGAGAGAAAAATTGAGAGCAGAAGTAAAGAAAACAGGAAAATATCTTTATTTGTAGGAAATTCATCTCTCTGCCTTTTTTCTTCTATTTCTCTCATTTCTACTTTGTTTCTTTATATTGCATTTCTTCCCACTAGACCTGAACTCCATAAGGAAAGGGATATTTATTTGTCTGTGACCCTAAGTGTTTTGTGCTCAGACCTACGACCATACCTCATACCACATAAATGCTAAATAAAACTCTGTTAAATGAATGAACAAATGTATGTTATGATTAGATTGTTAATCTAACTGGAAAATTCAAGTCTCCATAACATACACAAGAAAAAAGAAGAGATTCAGAATAAGAGAATTTATATTCAAGAAATAATAAGCAAATTCAGAATTCAGTCTCCATAACATATACAAGAAATAATAAAATAAGAGAATTCCGAATAATAAGAATTCTCTTTCTTATATATGTTATGTTATTATTTCTTCTATGTGTTTTATATATCGTTGATAAAACATACATAAAAATTCAATACCTATATATGTGTGTATATATATATCTCAAAGTTGTAAAATATCACTATTTTAATTATATATTTGGTGTAGTTCTAATGAAAATCAAATTTTTTATAATTCCAGCCAATTATTTTATTTTTGACTAAAATGGGCATTTAATAATTAAAAATAATTATACTGGTAACTTCTACCCTAAGGATTACACCATGTATCATATTTACTTACGATTATATGTATATGTTTTAAATACTTACCAGCTTCTTTGTGTAAATTTTTTGTTTCCAAACTAGTTAAGGTTTTTCATTGTTAAGATTATATTATAAAATATATAACCAGATATTTGGTGCTTAGCCTAGAAGCTAGCATTAAGGCACTGTTTCCCCAGACACATAGATATGCACACACACACACACACACACACACACACACACACCTCTATTTATTGATATATACGGGAAATTATATTTTAAAAGAGAGGAAGGAGAAAGGGAGGAAAAGTGGAGAAGGGGAATGAATTGATGGTACAGTGGCTATTACCAGTTTGATGCCTTCAAATGGCTTTGAACCATTATTAGAGTCAAAGATGATAGAAATTTTTTTTTTTGTGAGACTCTGCACACAAGCAGGGCTGCTAGGGGGTCCTGGTGACATATGTAGAACAGTTTATCTATGCATGAAAACTAAGTCGTTTTTCCTATTGGAAGACATAAAACTATTTTTTTTTTTTTTCAGAGACAGGGTTTTACTCTGTAGCCCAGGCTGGAGTGCAGTGGCAAGATCATAGCTTACTCCAGCCTCCAACTCCTGAGCTCAAGTGATCCTCCCACCTCAGCCTCCCAAGTAGTTGGGAATACAGGGCAGGCACTACCACTCTCAGCTAATTTTAAAATTTTTTTTGTAGAAATGGGGTCTCGCTATGTTACCCAGGCTGGTCTTGAACTGGCCTCTAGGGATCCTCCTGCCTTGGCCTCCCAAAGTACTGAGATTACAATCATGAGCCACCATATCCAGCTAAAAACTATTTTGGGGATGATATCAATTTTTCAAATAACACAAATCAAATTGTATCAAAATAATTGAAAAATGCAAAATATCTATATTAGGACTGTTTTACTTGCAAAAGACAGAACTCTAACTTTACCTTTCATATTTAAGAAAAATGATTTGTTTTAAAGGTAACGTGACAACCTGAAGGGCAAGGAAATATACATTCCCTCGAGAACAACCAGAATGGGATTCTTGAATGCCACCAGGACTTTTTCTCCAGCTTTTTCAGGTACTTGTCTGCTTTTCCCACCCAGGAAAAGCAGGGTTACCAGTGTGTCTCAAGTGTCACGTCTGTAATAGTTTCCTAGGGCGACTATAACAATGTACCACAAACCAGAAAGCTTTTTAAGAAAGAATTTTATTGTCTCGCAGTTCTGGAGGCCAGAAGTCTGAGATCAATGTGTTGGCAGGGCCATGCTCCCTCTGAAGGCACTGGGGAAGGATCTATTTCTGGCCTGTCTCTCTGAGCTTCTGATAGTTCCTTGGCTTGTTGCAACATAAATAACTCCATTCCTCACATGGTAAGGCATTTTCTGTGTCCAAATTTCCCCTTTATATTAAAAAAATTTTTTTCACTGAAACTTCAGGCTTTGTTGAATTCCGTTGTTTTTTCCCGTAGTTTTATTGTAATATAATTGACAAATAAAAATTATGTATACATATTTAAGATATACGATGTAATGTCTTGAATAGACGTACACACTGTGAAGTGATTACCATAATCCATCTAACTGGCATATCTACCACCTCATATAGTTACCATTTTGTGTGTGTGTGGTGGTAATACTTAAGATCTATTCTCTTAGCAAACTTCAAATATACAGTAAATTCTTAACAACTATAGTCAACGTGTGTACATGAGGTCTCCAGAACTTATTTATCTTATAACTGCAAAATGTTTGACCAACATTTCCTTATTTTTCTCACCCCTCACCCCTGGTAACTAACGTTTTTCTCTTTGTTCACATGAGTTTGACTTTTTTAGATATCGCATAAAAATGGGATCATGCAATATTTGTCTGTTTGTATTTGGCTTATTTTACTTAGTTAACATAACATCTTCTAGATTCATCTGTGTCATCACAAATGGCAGGATTTCCTTCTTTTATAAGGCTGAATAGTGAGTGCTCCATTGCATATCTACAGTGGTGCATCATTTAATGACGGGGAGCTTTCCAAAAAATGCATGTTTAGGTAGCTTCATCATTGTGTGAACATGATAGAGTAGACCTCCACAACCAGATGGTATAGCATACTACACACCTAGGCTATGTGGTATAGCCACTTGTTCTTAGGCTACAAACCTATACAGCATGTTACAGTACTGAAATAGTGTAGGCAATTGTAAAACAATGGTATTTGCGTATCTAAACATAATTAAACATAGAAAAGGCATAGTACAAATACAGCATAAAACATTAAAAAGGGCCCACTTGTTTAGGGCACGGGCCATGAATGTAGCTTGCAAGACTGGAAGTTGCTCTGGGTGAGTCAGTGAGTGGCGAGTGAATGTAAAGGCCTAGGATATTACAGTTTACATTTTTTTTAATTTCTTCTTTCAATAATAAATTAAACTTAGCTATTATTATTCAACAATAATTAACCTTAGTATAACTTTATTCTTATAATGAACTTCTTTTCATTATAAACTTTTTAGATATTATTTGACTTTTCAGCACTTTGTAACAACAGCTTAAAATACAAACACATTGAATAGCTGTACAAAAATATTTTCTTTCTTTATATACTTTTTCTATTTTACAATTTTTAGTTTTTAATTTTTTTACTTTTTAAACTTTCTTGTTAAAAACTAAGACACAAACACACACATCAGCTTAGGCCTACACAGGATGAGTATCATCAAGATATCACTGGGTGATGGAAATATTTTGGCTCCATAGATTAGAATCTTTCTGGACTATCTTTGTATCTGCAGTCTATCACTGACAGAAACACTGGTGTGCAGTGCATGACTGTATATGCAAAAATTTTGTGTGTATTCATCACTCAGTGGATACTTAGTTGTTTCTATATTTTTACTACTGTGAATAATGCTGAAATGAGCATAAGAGTGCAGATATCTCTTCAAGATACTGGTTTTATCTCCTTTGAGTAAATATTCATTAGTGGGATTGCTGGATTATTATATTTTTTAATTTTTGAGGAAACATCATAGAATTTTCATAATAGTTGTACCAATCTACACTCCCACCAAAAACATATAGGGTTTCCCTTTTCTCCATATCCTCACCATTACTTGTTATCTTTTGACTTTTTGATAATAGCCATGCAAACAGATGTGGGGTAGTATCATATTGTGAGTTTAATTTGCATTTTCATTATGATTAGCGATATTGAGCACGTTTTCATGTATCTATTGGCCACTCGTATGCATTCATTTGAGAAATGTCTGTTCAGATTTGTGCCCATTTTTAAGTGGGTTATCTTGTTTATGTTTTTGAGTTGTATGAGTTCCTAATATATTTTTGATATTAACCGCTGGTTAGATATGTGATTTGTAAATATTCTTTCCCATTTCATAGATTACCTTTTAATTTGTTGATTGTTTCCTTTGTTGTGCCAAATCTTTTTAGTTTCATGTAGTTTATTTATTTATGAGTTTCTTGTATATTTTGGATATCAATTCCTTTTTAGATACATGATTTGTAAATTTTTTTTCCATTTCATAGGTTGTCTTTAAGAAATTTCTTGATTGTTTCCTTTGCTGTGCAAAATCTTTTCAGTTTGATGTAGTTTGCCTATTTATTTATTTATGTATTACCTGTACTTTGGCTTCATTTCCAAAATATAATTGCCAAGTCCAATGTCATGAAGTTTCTCCTCTGTTTTCTTCTAGGAGTTTTATGTTTTCAGGTCTTACACTTAAATCTTTAATCCATTATGAATTGACTTTTGCATATAGTGTAAGCAAAGATCAATTTCATCAAATTTCCCCTTTTCATGAGGACACAAGCAACATGGAATTAACAATCAACCCTACTCCAATATGACCTCATCTCAACATGAATAATTACATCTGCACTATTTAAAGGAAAGTCAAATTCAAACATAACGGGGCATTATGATTTCAACACAAGAATCTGGAGGGGACAAAATTCAACCCATTACAATATCTTATACCTTCACCCACTCTATAAATTGATGCCTTCAGGCCTCCAAATTCCAGAAGATTAACTGTAAGTCCAAGGGAAAAAAGAAAGCAAACTACAGTCTGATTTTACGTCAAGTACTAACCCTTCACCCAATCAAAGGGGACCCAGCAGAGTCTCATTTTACTTACATGGAAGAAGTCTTGATGGAGCCTTCCTCCATGATGTGGATGAAGTAACAGGCAGAAAATGATATTGAGAAGACAACATCTACTGCAAGAGTTGTGTAAATACTATATATTTTAAAATGAATAGCTCCATGTGACTATGATAGATTGTATTTTCCACAGATAGCCACACAAATATACATACATATATACAATATATGTAATATTGCTATACATTATATATAAATTATAGAACTAATATGTTACACACATATTTATGTGTGTTTACGTGTGTATATGTGTATATATATATTTATATATGTATATATATATTTATATATGTATATATATATTTATATATATATAAAATCCCATTTCACATGCCATTCTTATAATAAGATTGGCATTTTTTCCCACTGAGAGTTAAGGGCTATGTTCCCTCCCCTTAAATCTGGGCAGATATTTGTAACTGTCTCGACCAATAATATACCATGGAAGTATTGCCATGTGCCTTCTGAGGCTAGGTAATTAAATGCAATATAGCTTCTGCCTGGCTTTGTCTGTCTCTTTCTCTCTTGGGATGCTAGGACCCAGAGACCATGTTATAAGGAAGCATAGGCCACATGGAGGTGTCCAGGCAACAGCTCCAGCTAAGGTCTCAGTGGAAAGCCAGCATCAACAGCTGGACGAGGAATAAATGAGCCTTCAGGTGTTTCCATCTTCCAGCCTTCCAGACCCTAACTGAGTTCCTAGACAATGTGAAATTTGAGATATCAGTGCCCACTGTGCCTTGTCGAATTCCCAACTCACACCAACCTTGAGAGATAATAATGATTGATGTTCTTAGCCATTGCTTTGGCTGAATTCTATCTCCCCCTAATTTATATGTATCCCCTGGTACCTCGGAATGTGACTGTATTTGAAGATAGGACCTTTAAAGAGATGATTAAGTTATAATGAGGCCAGTAGACTGAGTCCTAAACCAACCTGAGTGATGCCCTTTTAAAAAGAGAGAGACACATCAGGAGTGCTCATACACAGAGGCGAAGCCACGTGAGGACACAGAAAAAAGGTGACACCTGAAAGCCAAGAAGAGAAGTCTCAGGAGAGGCCAAACCTACCAACACCCTCAGGTTGGACTTCCAGAACTGTCATAAAATACATTTCTGCTGTTTAAGCCACCCAGTGGCTTGTATTTTGGTATGCAGCCCTAGTAAACTAATACAGCCAGATAACTAATACAATGATATTCAACTAGAGTAGTATGTATGAAATTAAACAAGACCACTTGACCTTTAAGAGCTTACAATAAAAATAGTCTTGATGCCAACAGTTAACTTATAAATATTACAAGTAACATATGAACAAACATATAAACATGTAATACAGTTATTTACATTACACCCATGCTTTAGGGAAAATCAATTAGAAATTCAGGTTCTTTAATAAATAAAGCACCATAAATTATGCCATAAGAATTTTCTCAGTAATAAATATTCCTATCACCATTTTTACTTAATGAATATTATAGAGTTTATGTCTTGTTTTGATGTAGAAATATAATTTTGAAAATACTTCCACTTTAAATACATGTGTAGCAATTATCCAAGAATAATTCATAATATGCATAAATAATGAGGTACCTTCTGCAGTATCACTTCAAATGATGTAATCTTCCTGTGGGATATAACACTGAAGGTAGGCAATTCTGATATGCGGAGTTCAGGTTTAGAGTTGCCAGATTCAGAAATGGTGTCTGAAAAATTTTTGTTGAGAATTCCATGAATCCAAGAAAGCAGAGAACAGGGAATCCATTGTTAGTCTAAAGAAATGACATCTACCAATCATTGAGCACGATTTTAGAAACATAATTTATATGTTTTATATAATGGTTATTGCATATATGATAGTCTACAATTTACAATAGTTATTTCCACTTTACAAAGGAAGATATTAGGTCAGAAAGATTAAGTAACTTGTGCAAAGCCACACAATTAGGAACTGCTGAAACTATTACCATCATTATAATTCACAGCAGCAGCAGCCAGAATGAGTCCAAAATCATGCATTTTTTACTTAAATACGAGCCAGTTAACTATACATTTTCCCATAACTGATGGTATGCATGGGGCCTTTATTTATCATATATATATATATATTTTTTTTTTCCAATTATTAAAGAGTATAGCCCACAAAATTGTATGTCACATAAATATTCATTGCTATTATTGGAAGAATAATTGTCTTAGTCCATCTGGGCTACTATAACAAGTACCTTTATAAGAATAGAAATTTATTTCTTAACAGTTCTCGAGGCTGGGAAGTCCAAAATCAAGGCACTAGCAGATTCAGTGTTTGGTGAGGAACTATTCCTCACAAATGGCACCTTCTGTTGTCCTCAGATGGTGGAAGGGGTGAGGCAACTCCCTTCAACCTCTCATGTAAGGACACTAATCCCATTCATGAGGGCAGAGACTTCATAACTTAATTACTTTTTAAAGGCCCTCCCTCTTAATAATATCACATTGGGTATTAGGTTTCAATAGATGAATTTTGCTGGGAGACCAACGTTCAGACAATAACAAATAATTTTAAGTACATGTCCAAGACAGATTACTAGAATTACCTTGAGGCATGCAGGGAAGCATGATGGGTTAAAGTGACTACTGATTTTTTTTTAGCCCAGCCCACCTACTCCTCCCCCTGTTCTTCAGATAAAAACCCAAGCTTCAGGCCTTAAAGATAGAGTGACCCAAGTAAGACTAATCTGTTATTTTCTCCCAGGAAATTTAATTTTAATATTATCTCATGTCATCTGAAAGCAAGTCCTAAAAAAGAAAAAGTTATAAATACTTGCTCTGAGATCCTCAAAACTGCAATTGTCCTGTATACCCTGAGACTCGGTGGTTCATCTCTTTGTTCAATTTTGGTGAGCCACCAGTCAATCACTTTTATGAGAAGCTTATTAGAGTAAGTTTCTGATATTTTTGTCCTAAAAAATAGTAAATGGAAATTGGGACCAGGGATTGAGTTACAGACACCAAAAACAGAGAAATGTGCAGAATTTGGATCTGGTCATCAGGCCAAAATTATAAGACTTTTATAGACATTGGAAAACAGCAAAGAAGCTGCCCATGCTTCTCAGTGGTGAAAGCTGCCCTCAGTTATCTGTAGGCTGCTGGGGTTGGGTGCAGATCTTGGGGGATGTGTAGCTTCTGACATAAATTTAAAAAGAAGGAAAAACACCAGAACCATGAATATGATGGCTGATGTATTAGTTCGTTTTCACGCGCTGATAAAGACATACCCAAGACTGAGTAATTTATAAAGAAAAGGAAGTTTAATGGACTCACAGTTCCACGTGGCTGGGGAGGCCTCACAATCATAGTGGAAGGCAAAAGGCATGTCTTACATGGCAGCAGGCAAAGAGAGAGAATGAGAGCCAGACGAAAAAGGAAATCCCTTATAAAACCATCAGATATCATGAGACTTATTCACTCCCAGGAGAACAGTACTGGGGGAAGCCCACCCCCATGATTCAATTATCTCCCACTGGGTCCCTCCCACAACATATAGGAATTATGGGAGCTACAATTCAAGATAAGATTTGGATGGGGACACAGTAAAACTGTATCAGTTGATTTTGATAGCATTTGATATCTTTGAGTGATATGCTGTATAAAAATCTTGCCTTAAGATTTAGAATAAAACTCAGGATCATTTTGTTGTGAATTGAAACAATAGAGATTAGTCTCTTGAAACAAAATTTGAAGACTAGTTCTGCTGCATTGCAACACCTCTGTCAGTGAAACCTCATCCCCTTTGAGTAAAGAAACTGCCTCACAGTCAGAGCCTGTAAGAGTGTCCATAAACCATTAGCATTCCTCAGCTTCTAACACATGAAATTGAAGCACAATTTAGTAAAATGTTGTAGCCAAAGATCAAATACCTCCATCCCAGCATACTCAGTTTCCGGCAATTTGTCTTTTCCATTACAAGAAGAATAGCCTTCCATACATTTCATGCCACTTGATCCAGAACATCAGCCTGTGTCTCAGGTGGCTTGTCTATATGCTTGGAGCAACAGAAGTTCTTTCATATTCCATTTGCAGACCCTGTGTATTGCCCTCTCCAGGAACAAAGTCAGTAGTTTGGGAATTTGGTGTCTGACATAGGGGTCATAAAAATCATCTTTAGAAGTCCTCCTATCTCAGTATCCTCATAGGTATGCTGAAGAATTGAGCACTTCAGCTAATAAGGCTTCATTGAATCTCTCCTCAATCCTGAACTTCTGCCAAGCATTCTTTCTGCATTGGGGTTTTAAGTATTTTGTAGAATCCCTTCCAATGCAACTGTATCATAGTCAATGGATAATCTTCAAATAAAGACAGACGTTTAAGATACTGCTCCTACCCTTGCACACCAGTGCCTCAACAGGGTTATAATCATATAACCATGGAAGTATGGGCTGCACAAGAATTATTGATTTCCTGGTTATCTTGAGTGAAGACTCAAAATGTATTTACCCTGGGCATGCATCTTTAATCAAATAGAACTTGCCTCTAATTGGCCACATCTCTGGCTGGCAGGTCATTCAGTATCCCCATCCACTCCTTTACATCAAATGATATTTCTAAATCCTTAGATAATACCCATAATCATTGTTAAACATTATTGTTGTTTCTTACACTACACAGGCTATGATCACATATGAGCACAATCATTGACCATTGTCATAGTTCCTTTTGCTATACTAAGTCTCAGTAAGCCTTGGTCCTCCACCATTATCTTACCCTGATGCACTTGGCACTCTACAGAGATCTTGCACACAGTTCTACTTTCTCCTTAATCTATGCTTAACCACAGAAAAGAACCTCAGGTCTTCACAGCAGAAGCCCTGACTCCTCCTAGGGAGCTATATATGACAGCAGAACTAGGTTTCTAGCACTTACAGAAATTCTATGTTGATACATCACACAACCTACTCGGTATGCTTTCTAATACTTCTTCCTTCCATTAAGCGTTCTTTGGCATGTCTGTTCCCAAAAGTTAAATGTTTCTGCCTTTGTGCAGTCCATTGTGTATATCTTTGCTAAAAGAAATCTTTTCATATCATGTAAATTCTTTGTATACATGCCTTCTCCTTCTAGGCCAGAACTATGTTGTGTGCTAGCCCTTTCCTTAATGTTCTATGTTATTAATAGATCTTGTGACCTAGCACATATTAAATAAAAGTCTTCTCATTAAATAAATTAATAAATACATATCCTAATCACTTAAAGAATAGGCAGGATTTTATTCTAATGGTTTCTGAAACTGTCAAGAGGAACTGCTCTCTCTTTTCGTTTTTCCCAAATGAAGTGTGCATTTTGTTTCTCCCACAGTAAAATGAGAGAGGGCAGGAAAAAGATCAGTATGAGAAAGTCAGCATAGAACCTGAAAAGCCTGACCAGGGAGAGGTGGTTTTTCCCCCTTCTGCGAATGTGTTGGAATGAATAACGAATCAGAAATCAGAACATCAAAATTCTTATTTTAGTTTTACAAAAATGTCAAATTCGTTTCCACTCCCTTCTCCAGAAAGTGGAAATAAAACTTGTCCTTTAGCCTTCAGATTGAGGGTCTTTCAGATTAAACCTGTTTTTGTGGAGAAAATATGTTAAATTTTTTTTTATTTTGAAAAATTTCAAACATTTTATTATACCTCAAGTAAAGATTTGAAATACATGTTAAACCTCATTGAGTAACTCATATTGGGGAGCAAATGCCTTAGTAAAATTAAATAAACAGTTCTCTTGAGGAAAGGTTCGTACTTATTTGTAACATGTCATTTACATTTTCTAATTGGTTATCTTAGTATTCTAAAAGTAAATTTTAGAAAATTTTGTTATTTGAATTTTAATTTGCAAACTATTGTGTCCTTTAGCATATTTGGATACAATTTGCGTAAACAGTATAATTATAATTATCTGCTTTCCCCAAAAGATTAGAAAGGAAAACTACTAATTAATCTCATTTACATGTGAATAAGGTTAATTGCTAAAACCAATTTTTATTTTCTCTAGGTAAGCTGTAATAAATGTTGTCATGCTATTAAGATATAACATAGATATTATACTATGTATCAAATTGAATAATAATTATATTTATGTAGTATCTTTCACTACTTGTTTTCAAAGATAATTTTCTGCTTATTAAAGAACACATTATCAAATTAAAGGGCTGCTTTCTTCCTGCCAGAAAGATACAATCTAGCCTTTCTACACCAGTGTTCCCTTATCTTCTGTACCTTACTTTCATGGTATTTATCTTTCTCTATACAAATATAAATACAAATCAAATCTCTTGTATTGGTAAAATATAAAATAAATATTAATTTGTATCAATATAAAACAAATATTTAAAATATAAGTATACAAGTTAATAATTATTATGTATTCATATTTGTAAGGCTGTTTTTATTTGTTCAGTTATTGAATACTTTCCCCTTGATCTAGATTCCTGTTCTCTACTAAGTGGTTATTTCCTTAATTGATCCTCTTTTCTCCCAATGTTCAGGCATCTTTTTTATTTTCAGGCTATTTTAAATAATTCCCAATAAGTACTTACTAAAGTCATTCGTGTGGCCTTTTACTGTGGCTCTAAATGTTCCAGAGATGTCTTCCTAAAACATAAATTTATTCATGTAACTTTATTGGATAAAATCCTTCAAAGTCTCTGTTCTAGAAGATAGCCCAACTCCCTGGCTAGCATATAAATCCTTAACGATTTCCTTTTGCCTATATGTCTATGCTCAGCTCCAGCTATAATCCAGAATAGCCTGGGTTCCAAGAAAATCAAGTTACTCAGAATTCCTGGAACCCAGGAAACATTTCACACCTCAAGGCCAGTTGCTCCTGAAATTAGTGAAACAGAAGCATCCAGCTGCTCACTATGAAAACTGAAAGTTTCTGGGTGCTTTGGAAGGTTCCAGGAATAAACAGGAAGTCACGTTGCAATTAAAAAATATTTCTTTGGAAGCATTTCTGTTAAATTGCCTAAAGGGATTTCAGAAGAAAGGAATTTAAAATTTCAGAGACTCCAATTTTTTTTGTAATATGTATTCTCATTTTTAAAACATACTCATTTATATATTAATTTTGAATTTATAAATTTGTATTATTTTTTCCAGAAAGGGCCCCTGGATCCATCCCTTTTCAAAACTCTATATCTTTGCCCATGATTTTTCGTCTTAGTTTACTTCCCTTTTTTTCAATTGAAAAAAAATCCTACTGGACTTTCAAGACTCAGTTTAAAATTCCTTTCCTCTGTTCTCTCACCTCCCAGCATTTTAGAAATCATTCAGAAGTTCTTCATTTGTACCAGCCTGGGCAACATGGCAAAACCCCATCTCTACAAAAAATACAACAAAAATAGCCAGGCACAGTGGTGCATGTCTGTAGTTCTAGCTACTCTGAAGGCTGAGGTGGGAGGATAACCCGAGCCTGGGAGGTCAAGGCTGCAGTGAACCATGTTCACGCCACTGCACTTCAGCTTGGGCAACAAAGTGAGACCCTGTCTCAAAAATAATAAAATAAAATAAAATAAGAAGTTCTCCATTTGTTTCTTTTGTATTTTTGTATTTTATTAATTTTTTTTTGAGATGGAGTCTCGCTCTGTCACCCAGGCTGGAGTGCAGTGGCATGATCTCGGCTCACTGTAACCTCCACCTCTCGGGTTCAAGTGATTCTCCTGCTTCAGCCGCCTGAGTAGCTGGGATTACAGGTGCCCACCATCACAACCGGCTGATTTTGTATTTTTAGTAGAGACGGGGTTTCACCTTGTTGGCCAGGCTGGTCTCGAACTCCTGACCTCAGGTGATCCACCTGCCTCAGCCTCCCAAAGTGCTGAGATTACAGGCATGAGCCACCATGCCCAGCCCATTTGTTTCTTTTACTAAAGAGTTTATCATATTGTATTTGGCCATTACATAATTACTTGTTCACATGTTTAAAGTTGACATCAGCCATGAAAAGTCATCTTGCTAGCTTGTCCCCTTGATATAATGTGCTATGGTCTTCCTCCCAAAATCTCATAATTCCAGTCAAACCATGAAAAAAAAAATCAGACAAATCCAATCAGAACCATTATTCTACAAAATACCTGGCAAATACTTCTCAAAACTGCCAAGGTCATAAAAAGCAATGAAAGTCTGAAAAACGGTCACAACCCAGAGGTGCCTAAGGAGACATGACGACTGAATGTAGTGTGTGGTTTTAAATGGAAACCTGGAACCAAAAAAAAGAGCATTAGAGAAAAGCAAATAATAATGAAAACTAAATGACGTATGGAATTTAGATAATAAAAATGCACCAATGTTGACTTGTTAGTCATGAAAAATGTACTGCAATAGGCCAGGCATGGTGGCTTATGCCTGTAATCCCAGCACTTTGGAAGGCCAAAGTGGGCGGATCACTTGAGGTCAGGAGTTTAAGACCAGCCTGGCCAACACGGTGAAACCCCCTCTCTACTAAAAATACAAAAATTAGCTGGGCGTGGTGGCGTGCACCTGTAATTGCAGCTACTAGGGAGGTGGAGGCAGGATAATCGCTTGACCCCTGGAGGCAGAGGTTGCAGTGAGCTGAGATAGCATCACTGCACTCCAGCCTGGGCAATGGAGTCAGTCTCAAAAAAAAAAAAAAAAGAAAGAAAAATGTACCTCAATAATATAACAACTTAACAATAGTCGTCAAAGTGTGTGCAGTATGCAGAACTCTACACACAACTTTTCTGTAAATCTGAAACTATTAAAAAATTAAAACCTTATTTAAATACTGAAAGCAAAAATACACTAGGAATTTTGGCATATATGAATATACACAAAAATAGCATTCATAATGAAAAGAATATTTGAAAGTTGGTTTATAAACTATTAATAATATATGTTAAGCAACAGAATTATAATATCTCAAAATCATGGTACATTAGCATTTTGTCTACACATAGTGCATTAGGATTTTGTCTAGACTGGTCAAAATAGAGAGAAAGCAATATAGATTTTCAAATGTACCCTGTGGGAGTTAAACCTAAATACAGTACTCTCTGTAGTATTATATTCCCTGTGACCTGGAGATTCAGAGCTAATTCTGAGAACAATCAGTTGTAAGTACTCCCATGTTCTAAAACTAAGAAGCAAAGGTGTCTACCTGGGACTTGCAAGGATTCAAACAAAAATAGTTTTGCCAACTTAATTCCATTCCCCACTGATAAGTTTGGATATTTGTCCCTGCCCAAATTTCATGTTGAATTATAATCCCCATTGCTGGAGGTGGGGCCTGGTGGGAGGTGATTGGGTGATGGGGGCGGATCCCTCATGGCTTGGTGCTATCTTTGGGATAATGAGTTCTCCTGAGATCTAGTTGTTTGAAAGTGTGTGGCACCTCCCTGCTACTCCTCTGTCTTGCTCCAGCTCCCACCATGAAATGTGCAAGCTCCTGCTTTCCCTTCTACAATAAGTAAAACTCCCTGAGGCCTCCCCAGAAGTCAAGCGCATGTCAGTGCCATGCGTCCTGTAAAGCCTGCAGAACGATGAGCCAATTAAACCTTTTTTCTTTACAAATTATCCAGTCTCAGGTATTTCTTTATAGCAATACAAGAAAGACAACACACCCATCTCCAGGCTAAGAGAAGACTTAGGGAGGAAGAGAGGTCAGTAATTGAGGGGACTTTAGAAGGTGTATTTATGAGTGTGGAATTACTCACCTCTGATCCAACAAAGAGAATTCTTCGTATTAAGAAAACAAGGAAAAGTGGGAATGGAGCTATCTCTAAAATAGCCACCAAAAAGCCCGTAAAAGAGAACCAAAATTTAGGATCTATCACTTAAAGGAAGCACTAATGCCAGATTCCAGCCCAACCAGTCAACAGACACTACTTATCTCTCTGTTCCAGTTACAATTGCTTTGTAATGTATTCCCCCAAACACAGAGGTTTAAACAACTATTTCATCATGTTTGCAGATTCTGAAGGTGAGAAATTCAGAAAAGAAACAGTCCTGATGACTTATCTCTGTCTCCTGATATCTGGGAACTCATCAGGAAATACTGGAAGGCTGCAGTTGATTCATCAGCTAGGGACTGGATTCAACTAAAGGCTCATTCACCCACATGTCTAGAGCTTTGGTTGAAGTGACTCAATGCCTAGGATGACTAACAGGGCTTGCAGACCTGCACCTGGCCTCTTCTGTGGTTTGACTTTCTCACAACCTGGGAACCTCATGGGAGGTAGATATCATCCATGGCAGCTCAGAGTTCCAAGCATGAGTATTCCGGGAACAGGTAGAAGTTGCATGGCCTTTTATGACCCAGTCTCAGAGTCACACAGCATGACTTCTTCCAGACTTGACTGGTTGAACTTAGAATTCACTTCTTTGTGGGAAAATGTTAAAATCACTTGAAATACATCTTGTATAATTGAATATAAAGTTGTGACCACCTTTGGAAAATATATTCTGCCAGATCTCCCTTCTTTCCTAAGTCTGAAGGAGTCAAAAAAGCTGTGAATAGGGGAAGAAGAGAAATATTCATCATGCCCTTTTTTCCTTCCCATTTCAGCTTTCTCAGCCTGGAGAGGTGATGGGAGTAGGAAAGAAGATTTAAAGTCAATGAAATCTGAAGTTCAGACATCACACATATTAGATTGGATGTATAGAAACTTGAAAAGAGATAGTTCATTAACTGATGGTGATCAGACAAATTTTAAGAATGCCTGAAATTTTATCCAAGGCATGAGTGTTTGCTGTGGAGTGAACAAATAGAATTATTTTCTACCTACACCCTACCATGCCCAATTCTCTCCACATGGGTGTAGGTGGTCTGTGTGCATTTGCAATATGCCGTAAGTGTGCATGACAAATAAGTCACTTTATGGGGTTTGCCAGAATATTGCCCTGGTAGGGAATCAATTTTAGCCACTTAAATTCAATCAGGAAGAGCTCAGAAATTAGTTCTGAGAGAAAATAAACAAAATATAATCTTAAACATGGGTTTTTTATTTGCTTTTAGAAAATTCTTTGGCTTATTCATGACATTGGTTTTCCCTAACTCTTTTTATTTTTTCTTTCAGGAAGTCTTAAGATTATTTTTATTCCAATTTTTAATTTTGAAAAATTTAAATATATTGAAGCATGGAAAGAATATCCTATGAATATGCATATGCGCTATATTTGATGCAACAATTGTCAAACTACTGCAAATATTTTATATCTATATCCATTGCATTACATATTTTTATCTACATCAATTTGGCTGAATAATTTGGATGATGTTATGATGCACCTCTTCAACATGAATTTCCTAAGAACGAGGCCATTCTCCCAGTTTACCACAACACCATTAAGGCACTGAGGAAAGTAATATTATTGATATAATAGTATTATCTGATATGCATTACATATTCAAAGTTGCTCAATTTGTCCCTATAACATCCATTATGTTTTTCCCATTTGAAAATCCAATCAAGGACTACGTATTGCATTGGTAGTTATATTTCTTGTTGTCTTTTACTCTCTAGTAGTTTCTTCCTCTTAACTGAAAAATTTTAAAAGTTCCAGCCAGTTATTTTGTAGAATGACCCTCAATTGAATTTGCTTGATTCTTTCCTCATGAATAGATTCAGATTAAATATTTTTAACACAATATTTTATAGGTGATGTTGGTGCTTCTCAGTGCATCGCATCAGGAGGCAAGTATTGTTTGTTTCTTATGTTATTGGTGATATTAGATTTGATCACTTGGTTAATGTAAAGTATGCTAGATTCTTTACTAAAAAGGTAACTTTGTGGCTCGGTCCTTAATAAGTACAGTAAGTAACACTTTGAGAATGTGTAAAAGTTACACTTTGAGAATATATAAATATTCTGTACTCTAGCAAGTTTTTCCCCAAAGGTTTCAGCACCCATTCATGATCTTTGCCTAAATCAATTATAAAATTTGTGACTGCAAAATGGTGATTATTTTTCTAATTCTACATTTCTATTAGATATATCAACACTCATACTTCAATAAAGAATATTCCCTCTCTCCCTTCTCTTTTGCATTGTGTTTTTTGTTTGTTTGTTTGTTTTACCATGACTACGGACTCATGAATTATTTTTAATTAAATGTGTTATATTCATTACCATCATCATTTTTTGAGTGCCTAATTGTCCCCAAGTTGGCCAACAGGGGGCCTCTTCATATTGGTTCTGGTGTACTTTTGATATATTTCCATCAGTTTTCAAGCCCTTCCTTACTTATAGACACAACATACTGCTGGCTCAACATGTAATTTCTTGCCACACATGAGAAATTAACCATTTACTGCAAAATTCCAAGTGTCTTTTAGGAAGAAATGTCAATTTCAAGCCAAGATCTGGGTACAAGGTATGCTGATTGCTACTGGGGAATCAGTAATGTTCATTGGCATTTTCAGTAGATTATGCTAAGAAATATGTCCTTTTAAAAATAAAACTTTTTAAAAGAGGGTAAATCTTTGATTTTAGTTAATATTTCAATTATTAGAAAACAATTACCATATCCCACACTTTTTAAAAAGCTATCCTATTTCATCATTTATGTGGTAGGGCAAAGTAATGTACTTGTATTCACCATGATCTATTAGAATCTGAGTTCCTTGAGGAAAGTTCAGTAGTACTATTCATTCATTTCTTTATTTATAGTGTATTCATTTATCCACCATATTTTTCATGTTCATGCTGCATGGGGGTGAAGGCAGAATAGTAAGTTTCCAGAGGAAGCGAAGTCATTAAGAATAACTTGGATCTTCAGGATGGTTAGTACATAGTTATCCAAAGAAAGAAGAAAAAGATATATAGGAGGTAATAAGAAGAGAGTGCCATGGCTTCTGGCATGCATGAGTGAGCACAGATCCCACTGCCACCACCCTGATGAAGTGCTTTGAACAACACCATCCATCGGAGTGTCGTTGCCAGTGGACTGAAAACACCTTGGCCCCTATAGTACAGCAGGTTCCTAACCTCAAGGGGCCACATAACAAAGTTGGGGGCCTAGTATCAGCCCTCCAAAATTATAACACACAGACTAGGAATGCTAAACTGAACGTTAGTCCCCTGAAATCTTTCAGAAATTAACCCAGTCAACTGAACCTCTGATATGCTGTAATCAAGCCCCAAAGTATGTAAAAGAAGATAAAAACAAAAAACCCATCCAAAGAATGGCAACTTCAAAGCTTGAAGAAACATCAATCTATACAGATGAGAAAAAAATCAGTGCCAGAACTTTGGCAACTAAAAAAGCCAGAGTGTCTTCTTACCTCCAAATGACTGCACTAAGTCCTCAGCAACAGTTCTTAACCATGCTGAAATGGCAGAAAGAATAGAAATAATATTCAGTATGTGGATAGGAACAAAGATCATTGCCATTCAGGAAAAAGTGGAAACCCAATCCAAGGAATCTAAGGAATACAATAAAATGGTACAGGAGATAAAAGACAAAATGGCTATATTAAGAAAGAACTGAACTGATCTGATACAGCTGAAAAACTCACTTCAAGAATTTCATAATACAGTCACAAATATTGACAAGAGAAGTAAACAAGCTGAAGAAAGAATCTCAGGGATCAAAGACTGGTTCTCTGAAATAATGCAGTCAGACAAAAATAAAGAAAATACAGTAAAGAAGACTGGGTAAAACCTCTGAGGTGTCTGGGATTATGTAAAGAGACCAAATCTATGACTCATTGGCATTTCTGAAAGAGAGGGAATGAAAGCAAGAAACTTGGAAAACATATTTGAGAATATAATTAATGAAATTTCCCCAAACTCACTAGAGAGGCCACCATTCAAATCCAGGAAATGCAGAGAACTCTCCACAAGATACCATACAAAATGGTAATACCAAGACACATAGTCATCAGATTCTCCAAAATTGAAATAAAAGAAAAACGGTTAAAGACAGCTAGAAACAAGGGGAAGGTCACCTACAGAGGAAACCTCATGAGGCTAATAGTGTAACTTTCAACAGAAATCCTACAAGCCAAAAGAAAATGGAGGCCCATATTCAGCACTCTTAAAGAAAAATTTCAGCCAAGAATTTATTATCCAGCCAAACTTAGCTTCATAAGTGAAAGAGTAATGAGATCCTTTTCAGACAAGCAAACGCTGAAGGAATTCATTACCATCATACCTGCCTTACAAGAGGCTCATAATGGAGTGCTAAATGTGGGAAGACCATTACCGGCCACAACAAAAACATACTTAAGTATATAGACCATTGATGCTATAAAGCAACCAAACGATCAACTCTAAGAACTAACAACAAAATGACAGAATCAAATCTGCAAATATCAATATTAATGCTGAATGTAAATTGGACAAAGAAGCAAGACCTAATTCTATGCTGTCTTCAAGAGACCCATCTCAAATGCAATGACACCCATAGGCTCAAAGTAAAGGGATGGAGAAAAATCTACCAAGCAAATGGAAAACACAAAAAAAGCAGGGATTACTATTCTAATTTCAGACAACAACGACCAAAAGAAAACAAAAAAGTACATTGCATAATGGTAAAGGGTTAAGTTCAATAAGAATTAACTATCCTAAATATGTATGCACCCAGATTTATAAAGCAAGTTCTTGGAGACCTATGAAAAGACTTAGATAACCACACAATAATAGTGGGAGACTTCAACACCCCACTGACATTATTAGACAGATCATAGGGGTAAAAAACTAACAAAACCATTTAGAACCTGAACTCAACACTTGACCAAATTGGCCTAATAGATATCCACAGAGAACTCCACCCAAAAACAATAGAATATACATTCTTCTCATCTGCACATGGCACATACTCTGCTATCAACCACACAATTGGCCATAAAACAATCCAGAGAAAATGTTTTAAAAATGAAACCATACCAAACACACTTTTGGACCACATGGCAATAAAAATTGAAATCAGTACTAAGACGTACTCTCAAAGCCATAAAATTTCATGGAAATTAAACAACCTGCTCCTGAATGGCTTTTGGGTAAACAATGAAATTAAGGCAGTATTTGAGAAATTCTTTGAAACTAACGAGAACAAAGATAAAACATACCAGTATTTCTGGGACACAGAAAAGCAATGTTAAGAGGGAAGTTTATAGCACTTGATAGCCACATTAAACAGTTTGGAAGATCTCAAATTAACAACACAACATCACACCTAGTAGAACTAGACAAACAAGAGCAAACCAACCCCAAAGCTAACAGAAGACAAGAAATAAACAAAATCAGAGGTTAATTGAAGGAAACTGAGATGTAAAAAAACCTTTGAAAAGATCAATGAGTCCAGGAGTTGGTTTTTTGAAGGATAAATCAGATAGCTAGACCACTAGCTAGATTAATAAACAAGAAAAGAGAGAAGAGCCAAATAAACACAATCAGAAATGACAAAGGGTATGTTACCATCAAACCCACAGAAATACAAAAAGCCCTCAGAAACTACTATGAACATCTCTATGCACACAAGCTAGAAAACCTGGAAGAGATGGATAAATTACTGGAAATATACAGCCTCCCAAAATTGAATGAAGGAGAAATTGAATGAATCTCTGCATAGACCAATAATAATTTCCAAAATTGAATCAGTAATAAAAAGCCTACCAACCAGAAAAAGTTCAAAACCAAATGGATTCACAGCCAATTTCTACAGGTAAATAAAGAAAAGCTGATATCATTCCTACTGAAACTATTCCAAGAAATAGATGAGGAAGAGCTCCTCTTTAACTCATTTTATGAGGGCAGCATCATCCTGATAGCAAAATCTGGAAGAGACACACAAACACACAAAATAAAACTTCAGGCCAATATCCTTGATGAACACAGATGCAAAAATCCTCAACAAAATACTAGCAACCCAAATCCAACCACATGTAAAAAACTTAATTCACCATAATCAAGTGGGCTTTATTCCTTGGATGCAAAGTTGGTTCAACACACACAGATCAATAAATGTGATTCATCATATAAGCAGAACTAAAAACAAAAACCCCATGATCATCTCAATACATGCAGAAAAGGTTTTTGATAAAATTCAGCACAGCTTCATGTTAAAAAGCTAGAGGCTCTACAAAGTAGGTCTTGAAGAAACATTTCTCAAAATAGTAAGAGCCATCTATGACAAGCCCACAGCCAACATCATACAGAATGGGAAAAAGCTGGAAGCATTTCCCTTGAGAACCAGAACAAGACAAGAAAGCCCACTCTCACCATTCCTATTCAACATAGTACTGTAAGTCCTAGCTAGAGGAAAAGGCAAGAGAAAGAAATAAAAGACATCATAATAGTAAGATAGAAAGTTAAACTATATGTTTGCAGATAGTATGATTTTATACCTAGAAAACCCCATAATCTCTGCCCAAATGCTCCTAGATTTGATAAACAAATTTAGTAAAGTTTCAGGATGCAAAATCCATTTACAAAAATCAGTAGCATAAATACACATCAACAACACCCAAGCTGAGAGCCAAATCAAGAACACAATCCCATTCACAGTAGCCACAAAAAGAATAAAATACCTAGGAATACAGCTAACCAGAAAGGTGAAAAAATCTTCATAATAAGAATTACAAAACACTGCTTAAAGAAATCACAGATGACACAAACAAATGGAAAAATATTTTATGCTCATGAATAGGAAGAATCAATAGTGTTAACATGGTCATATGTCTCAGAGCAATCTCCAGATTCAATGCTATTCCTGTCAATCTACCAATGACATTCTTCACAGTATTAGAAAAAAACTATTTTAAAATTCATGTGGAAAGAAAAAAGAGCCCAAATAGCTAAGGCAATCCTAAGCAAAAATAACGAAGCTGAAGGCATCATGTTACCCAATTTCAAACTGTACTACGAGGCTACAGTAACCAAAACATTACAGTACTAGTACAAAAACAGACACATAGACCAATGGAACAGAATAGACAGCTCAGAAGTAATGCCACATACCTAGAACCACCTGTTCTTTGATAAAGTCGACAGAAACAGACAATACAAAAAAGACTCTCTATTTAATAAATAGGGCTAAGATAACCATCTACACATATGCAAAAGATTGAAACTGAGCCCTTTACATAATACACCACATACAAAAATCAACTCAAGATGGAATAAAGGCTTAAACGTAAAACATAAAAACCTGGAAGATAACCTAGGAAATACCATTCTGCGTATATCTTGGTGAAGATTTCATGACAAAAAGCAATTACGACAAAAACAAAAATTGACAAATGGGACCTAATTAAACTAAAGAGCTTCTGCACAGCAAAAAAAACTATCAACACAGTAAACAGACAACCTACAGAATGGGAGAATTTTTTTGCAAATTATGCATCCAACAAAGATCTAGTATCAAAAATCTGTAAGGAACGTAAACAAATTTACAAGCCAAAAACAAGCAACCTCATTAAAATGTTGGCAAAAGACATGAACAGACACTTTTCAAAAGAAGACATACACACGACCAACAAGCGTATGAAAAAATGGTCAACATCACTAATCATTAGAGAAATGCAAATCAAAGCCACAATAAGCTACCATCTCATGCCAGTCAGAATGGCTATTATTAAAAAGTCAAAAAGTAATAGATGCTAGTGAGGTTGTAGAAAAAAAGTTCAGCCGTTGTAGAAAACAGTGTGGTGATTTCTCAGCGAACTCAAAACAGATTTACCATTCAACCCAGCAATCGCATTACTGGGTATATGCTGAAAGGAATATAAATTGTTCTACCATAAAGACATATGCATGCCCACATATGTTTATCACAGTACTATTCACAATAGAGAAGACATGGAATCAACCTAAATGCCCATCAATTGTATACTGGTAAAGAAACTGGTATAGATACACCATGGAATGTCCTGCAGCCATAAAAAGGAGTGAAATAATGTCCTTTGCAATAACATGGATAGAGCTGGAGGCCTTTATCCTAAGCAAACTAATGCAGAAACAGAACACCAAATACTGCATGTTCTCACTTATAAGTTAGACAAAAGCATTGAGTACATATGGACACAAAGAACAGAACGACAGACAGCAGGGCCTACTTGAGGGTGGAGAGTAGGAGAGAGAGGATTGAAAAACTACCTATTGGGTACTATGCTTATTACCTGGTGATGAAACAATCTGTACACCAAACCTCTGTGACATGCAATTTACCTATATATTAGGTTGGCACAAAAGTAACTGTGGCTTTTGCAATTAAAAATGTTGGCAAAAACCATAATTACTTTTGCATCAACCTAATAGCAAAACTGCACATGTACCCTTGAACCTAAAATAAAAATTTTAGAGAAGATTTCTTCTGGCAAGGGGTAAAGCATATAAGAGGGTCTTCAGGCCAGACTGCTTTCAAAAGGCATGGAATTCAATTGTGGTTGAAATAAGTGAATTTGTACTCCAAAATTTCGAAGAATTAAGCCTAGATGGTATATAAAGGAAAACTACTAAGTGAAGCAGATATTGGGAAAAGTTTTTCAGAAAAGTACTATTAAAATTTTTGCATTTTAAAATATAGTACATATTTTAAAATACTGTGGATAATTTTTTCTTTATTTTTTATTTTTTTGAGATGGAGTCTCGTTCTGTCCCCAGGCTGGAGTACAGTGGCTCAATCTCGGCTCACTGCAGCCTCCGCCTCTCGGGTTCAAGCGATTTTTCTGCCTCAGTCTCTCAAGTAGCTGAGACTACAGGCATGTGCCACCGCACCCAGCTAATTTTTGTATTTTTAGTAGAGGTGGAGTTTCACCATGTTGGCCAGGATGGTCTCGATCTCTTGACCTCATGATCCACCTGCCTCAGCCTACAAAGTGCTGGGATTACAGGCATGAGCCACCATGCCCGGCCTGTGGACAATTTTTAAAGTAATCCTTAGAAAATAAGTAGATATATTGAGATTCCTCTAAGTGAAAACCTCTCAGCAATTTTTAAAAAATAAATTGTTAAATTAACTATTGAAGATATACAAAATAATTTTTATGAAATATACATAAGTTAAGAAAAAACAAGCACCTAGTTACCCATGACCAATTTTAATTAACAGAAAATTACCATCACTTTTGAATCCCTGTGAATCCCAGGACATCTCACTTAATTGCATTAACCTTCAAAAGTAACCATATACATTATTTAATTATGTACAGTTTTGGCTTTATATTAATGTGTATATACTGTGTGTCTTCTGTAGAATTCTTTCTGCAGCATTATGTTCCTGAAAATCAATTTTTTGCTTCAAATTGCAATCCATTCATCTTCAATGATCTAGTATCGAATCAGATAAATATACCACTATCTACATTCTGTTATATGTGACCTGGCACATGTGGGTAAAACCTTCTCTGATATAGGAATGAAATTGATTAGTCACTAAATATATACTACTCAAATTAGCTAGACAATGCCAAACTGTTTTTACAAAGTGGTTTTACCAATTTACCATTCTAATACCTATATGTGTGTGCCATTGTTTCATTAACACAATCAAGATGGTAGACGTATCCATCACCTCTAAAAGTTTACTCATGCCTCTTTGCTTTGGGTTTTTTTTTTTTCCATTGGTCAAATTTTGATAGATACATTGCTAGCCATTTTGTATTACTGATACTATTACAAATGGTATCTTAGTTTTAAAAATACATTTTCTAAACTATTATGATATAGATAATCAACTTTAAAAAATTTTAGTCAACTTTATCTTTTAGAGCAGTTTTAGATTCACAGCAAAATTGAGGGGAAATTAATGTTTCCATTTACCTCCTTTGGCAGGTATATTGTTTCATTTGCACCATCCCCACCACCCCCAACATATGCAATCTTTCCCACTTCAGCCTCACCCACCAGAGTGGAACATTTGTTATGTTCAATGGACCTACATTAACACATCATTATTACCCAAAGTCAATGGTTTACATTAGGGTTCATGCTTGGTATTCTACAATCTATGGCTGTTGACACATGTGATGACATGTATCCACTATTAGAGCATTCTCTGAGCTTCCTGGATCTTTAGTTTGGTATATGACATGAAGTTGAGGAAATTCTCAATTATCATTGCTTCAAGTATATCTTCCGTGTCTTTTTCTCTCTTCTCTTTCTCTTATTCCATTACTCATATGTTATATACTCTGTGGTTTTTCCAGAGTTCTTGGATATTCTGTTCTAGGTTTTTGTTATGGTTTTCAGTATTTTTATTTTGTCTTAGATTTTCAGTTTTGAAAGTTTCTATTGACTTGTCCTCAAGCTCAGAGATTCTTTTCAAGGCTATGTCCAGTCTACTAATTATCCCATTAAAGGCATTTAGTTTTGACTCAGTATTTTTTATCTCAAGCATTTTTCAAACTCTTTCCTGGAATTTTCATCACTCTGCTTACATTACTCATCTGTTCTTGCATATTGTCTACTTTGTACATTAGATCCTTTAGCACAGTTGTTTTAAATCTGTGGTCTGATAATTCCAACATTCCTGCATACCTGGGTTTGGTTTTGACGCTTTCTCTGTCTCTTAAATCGTCTTTTTTGCTTTTCAGTATGCCTTGTAATTTTTGCTAAAAGGCAAACATGATAGAAGAGATAGGGAAGAATTCTGTAGTCCTAGAGGATTAGGTCTCAAGCTTTTAATGAGCCTGTGTCCCTGGGCTGTGAGCTTCACAAGTGCTTTTCAGTTTGTTTGTATATTTCACCCTGTTAGATGACACAGGATGGCTAGAGCTGGCTGGAGATGGGTACTTCTCTTCCCCTAGGTCAGTTAGGCTCTGGTAAAATCCCACCAAGTTAGGCTTTGGTAAAATAGTTTATCTTGATGATATGCCTTATAAAGAAGGAGAGAATGCTCTGGCATATTTCAAAATGGTTACTTTTCTTCTTCCCCTATTGGAAGCCCAGTGAGATTTTTCTCATTGAAAATGAGTGTGATAGAGCCTGGTAGAGCTCCTGGAGGTAGAACTCACAAAAGTGTTAGGCCCCCTGTTTATTACTGTGCCCCTTGGGGTTTTTATCTCTCAGGCTTGTTTACATTAAGACTTCAGCAATTCATCAATTACAGTGTACGTTTCTCTACCCTGGTAATGGTTCCCACAAAGGTTCCTGCTCAGGTAAGTTGTGATTCTCTGTATCTGCCTGTCTCTTCAATTTGGGGAGCAGCAGTTTGCCATGTGATCTTACTTCTCTGACAGATCTAAGATGAGTTGCTAATTTTTCAGTTTGTTGGGCTTTTTACTTGTTGTTAGGTATGATGACAGCTTCTAAGCTCCTTTCATGCCAGACCAGAAACCAGAAGTCTCAGAATTTAACTTATTTTGTACATTGATTTCATATCTAGCAGATTTATGAAACCATTTTATTCATTTTAATGAGGTATTATTATTTTATTTGAGTTTTCTTTACAGATGATCATGTTGTCTACATTATATCTTTCTTTCTGGCTTATAATCCTTTTCTATTTTCTTTGTCTTAGTGCTAGGAACTCCATGTAATTTTAAATAAAAGTGATGATATTGAACACCAATGCCTTAGGCAAATGCTTTTAACATTTCACTATTAAGTAAGATATTTGCTGTACATTTTTTAATTTATCCTTTTTCATGTTAAGGAAGATTGCTTCTGGTCCTAGGTTTTTCCCACTAACTTTTGGTTTGAGAAATCTAAAACATCCGAAAGGATAAAATTTCAACAAAAATTTCAAGCATAATAATAGTACAATTAGTGTTCATATCTCTTCTACTTTAAACATATTAAAATACTTATTTTATATTATCTGCCTAAGAATTTCACTATTTGATGTTACCTGAGCTTCAGGGTACTATTTCTACATTACCTTTATACCGCATGTATAGTTTTTTGTGGTACCTAAATTATCTGGGGATTCTTTTGCTAGATGCCCACCTTGGGCTGGCCCTGAACTATGCCTCTGACCCCAAATGCCCTGTGAAGGGATGAAGACCAAAGCTCGACGTCTCCCTATTCAGCAAATGCCCTTCTGACAAAAGCCAACTTTTACTCCATTTATAGCCTCTAAATATTTCTTACTAATTTGACAGCTTATTAATTCGTTTACAACTATATTTATTTATATCTTACTAGGCATTTTTAGTGGTTTTCAGTGGGAGAGTCAGTCAATGTCCCCAAGTCACCACTCTATCAGAGGTGGAATTTGGTGTTCTCTTTATGGAACACTTGGAATCACAGATCAACGTCAATCTTCCCTGAAGCCCATTTCTCTGTTTCCTTCATGAGGGCTATTGGCACAATAACTCAACATGCAATTTTTGCCATCATCCACACAGAATCCTTATTAGCCTTACATATTTTGTTAATATCTTAAGAGCGTTTTTGACCTAATATGCCTATTTAAGCCAAATGCTAAACTCGAGGTTTGAGATGAATACAGTCTCCCTATAGTGAAGCTTGCGGAAGTGAGTTGTCAGGATATGAATTTTTTTTCAATATTTCCACCTTATCTCTGTGGGGTTTCCAGTTACTGCTTAAGTCAGGATGATTTGGCACAGGACATGTTGTTCTTTTGGAGTATGAGAATCTTTATTGCTCTTAATTGTTTCATTTTCTAGTCATCTTCTGGCTACTAATAAATACACTCTATAATTGCACTAGGAATTAAAATTAGATATAACTGAACTAGAGCTCCCTCTCCTCAGCCCCACATAGGTAATACATTCAAGCAAGTTTCTTACAAAGGCCGTCGGTTCTGTGGAGCTGACCAAGGTAAAATAGTGAATGATGAAACAGTTGTTTTCAGGACCTATCCTGAAATCGTGGCGTTAAATACCTGAAGAGATGTTTAGAAAATATTTTCTTCCTAGCTAGGTATTTAATCCTAAAATCAAAAAAATTTCAGGAAAAAAATGGATGGGTGACTCTGCACCCAATAATCCCTGTCCTTTTTTTTTTTTTCTTACACATTTTCTCTGCTGGTCCTGCCCTCCTCACAGTGTGCATAATTAATTTCAGATTATCTCATTCAACTAAGATACAATTTTGGCATGGGTATAGATAAAGCCAATTCAAGGTATGGAGTTTAACATATTCAAAGAGCAGGCATGAGTTCATGTATTAGTTTCCTTGTTGCTGCTATAATGGGTTACCACAAATTTAGTGACTCAGAACAACACCAATTTATTCTATTGCAGTTCTCAAGGCCAGAAGTTTGAAATCAATCTTAAAGAGTTAAAATAAAAGTGTCCACAGGTCTAGTTTCATCTATCAGTAGACTCTAAGGGGAGGGTTTGAGTGCTGCCTTATTCAGCTTCCAGTGGTCATTGCCCCTTCCTCCATCTGCAAAGCACATTACTACCAAGCTCTGCTCCCATCATCACCTTGCCTTCTCCTCTGGCTGACTCTGCTGCCCCCTGCCTCCCCCTTGTAACAACTGTTGTGATCACATCAAGCTCACCTGGATAAACCAGGATATTCTCCCCATCTCGAGATACTTAATCACATCTGCAGAGTCCCTTTTGCCACATAAGGTAACATATTCAAAGGTTCTGGGTGTATAATGTGGATATCTTTGGGTGCAGAGAAACATTGCTCATCCTACCCCAGTTCATAATAGTGAACCTGTCCCATGCTGTCTAATTTTATTTCCCCCACACCAGTTTGCATGCCTGCTGTCTCCTAACCTTGAGACTGAGGTCCTTCTTGCTAGTCCATCTATACTTTCTAACAGGTCATGGATCTTCCTGCACCATTTCACAGACTGAAATTATTTCTAACATCCCTTATCCTAATTAATGACTCGTCATCAATTTGGATATCCAAAGCCTTATTTTAAAACTTTTATTGTATGGACCTCAGGTCACTGTGGTTTGTTGGTTAATTATCCACCATGAATATAAATTTAGACTAAGATACACACATATATCACATTGTCTAACACCAAAACTTTTCAAAGTACATTACAGACACTATAACAATAGATGTATCATAATAGATTATAATTTTCCTCTGTTGATAAACATGCTAATAACACTATAGTGGGTTTTATTTTTCTTGTAGATAATAGCTCATAGATAATATACCTCAGAGATAATTATTGAACTATCTCTTATAGATATCAATTGAAATATGACTACCTCCATAGCCATAAATAAATAATAGAGAGCTGTTTAATGGTCTATTATATATTAGGTGTTTACATATGTTTCCATGGACTTTGTCAATGTTAGTAATATTAATAATTTGAAAAAAAGGAAATACTTGAAAACTTCACTGTGGTGTCAAATTTCTTCCTGGCAATAGCCCTGTGAGATAGGTATTATTAGCCTATTTTATACAATTAGATACATTCAGTCCTAAATCCATCTGATACCAGGCAATGTGATAGAGTGATGGTGATGTTGGGATGGTTCATGGGAAAAATAATTTTGAGCATGAGGCCTCTGCAAACTGCTTTTAATCCCACTCTGCAGGCATAGAGCTCAGGCCACAGTCAGTTCAATGCTAGCCCCTCAGATGTTATGCCCTGGTGACCAGTTCTGTCCAGACTTGGATCTCAGCTCTAGGGATGGTCATATATTTACTTTGGTGAAAAGACTAAGAGACAGAAAAGGTATTTAGAAAATATTTCTTTTCTTGGTATCCTTGAAAGAACTGCCCTTTTAGACAGAGGGCATGTTTTGACATCTGTAAATCTTCTCTCTCAGCATCATTTCTGAAATGTTACATGCAGTTGAGGTATTAAGGCTTCAAGTTTGCACCTAGAAATACTTCACTGAGTTAGTAATTCATACAAAAAAAAAAAAACCCACAAAGCCTTCCTTAGGAAAGGATTTCTGTAAGTATAGTTTTAAAATGTAGTTGATTTTAATATCTAAAACACAAAATTGTGAGAAGCAATTCATTTTTGCATACAATATACAGTAGAAAAATATACCCAGCTAAGAAAATACAGATATAGAAATTTTTTAAAGAGAGGGAGAAAGAAAAGGTCAAGAGTGGAAAGGGATATGAAAAACAAAGAAAGAAGACAGAAAAAGGCAGTGGAGATGCTGGCCTTAAAATCCACATTCAGATGCTAGAATTCAAGTTATTTAAACTGTGAGAAGTTAACAAAGCCTATTAAAGCCATTCAGGCCAAGATCTGCTTGATATTCACAATTTCATGATTTTTGTTTTTCCTATGCACCTAAGAAGACTATTGTATTAGTCCACTTTCACACTGCTGTTAAAGACATAACCGAGACTGGCAAGAAAAATAGGTTTAATGGACTCACTGTTCCACATGACTGGAGAGGCCTCACAATCATGGTAGAAAGTGAAAGGTACATTTTACATGGCAGCAGAAAAGAGAGAGCTTGTGCAGGGAAACTCCCTCTTATAAAACCATCAGATATCGTGAGACTTATTCACTATCATGAGAACAGTATGCAAAAGACCTGCTATCATGATTCAATTACCTCCCACCAGGTCCTTCCCACAAGACATGGGAATTCAAGATGAGATTAGCTAGACAAATAGCCAAAGAATATCAACTACGTTCCCTGGCCTCTCTTGCAATTAGGTGGGGTCATATAACCTTCTGGATAATGCAATATGAATGGCTATGTGACCTGGGCGTGCTGTTAAAATTATCTTTGACATTCTCAGCTCATTCTTATCCACTCCTTAGTGTCCCCAAAGACATGGCTTGAAATGGCAGCCTGACAAATTGGAAAGAACAGAATCACTGGAACAGAGAGGAGCTCTGCCAAGGAGATATTGGTTCTGTTCATTACAGCATCCAACACAAATTATCCTTATCAAAATAGTAGATTAATGACATGGTCAGATTTGAGTTTCATGTAAGTCCCTATGACAACTGTGCATGGATAGATTAAAGCAGGCAAATATTAAAGTTGGAAAAATGAACTTGAGGATGGATTCTATCAAGATTAAGGGGGGGAAAATGCCAACTCCCTTGTATCTTATAAGGAACTTGGAAGTCTAGCAAAAGCACCAACTGAGAAATAATACTAAACAAGAAGCAACCACAGAGGGTTTGGAATGCTCCCTTTTAGATATACCTTCCTCTGTTTCACTGCATTTTTCATATCGGAATTTAATTTTGTGATTATTTCCTTACATGATTTTTAAACTGTAATGCTTCATGAGGTTATGGACCTCATCTGTTTTTGAACTTTCCATTGCTATTACTAAGCCATTCTTGGCACAAAGTAGATATGCAACAAATACATTGAATGAATGAATAAAATAATGGATGATGTGACAAGCAGACATTTGTACATATAAATTTCAAGGAAGCAATCTGAACTGAGAAGTTAAAATTAGAGTTCTTCAACCTTAAACAAGTAAATTAAATCTTGAATGAGGATGAAATCCTCCTGGAGTAAAGCTGGAATGAAAAAAAATACTGAGCTGATGAGAACACATGGGATAAAGAATAATTTTTAGTTTTTCAGAGGAGAGGATTTCTTCACATGCTGAGCAAAAGAAAATGGTTGAGAAAAAAATGAAAAAGTTCTGGAAGGGTAGCAGCTATCAGATGATGGACCATTTAGACTATTAATGAATGAAGAAAACACAGTGACTGCTGGTAAAGAGATTATCCAACAATAATATTACATGGTTCTGCAATAAAGTCATTGATTTTCTACAGAGTTTGATTTTTTAATGTACTTTTGAATTGACAATTTGAAAGATTTTTCAATGATATGCTTGAAAATATATACTTTTATAAGCTGGTACTGACAATTACATCATGAATAATTAAAATTTGCTTTCTTTTTAAAAGACACGTAAGAGAGTAAGGAAGACTGTATAGCCCTGTATAAGAGAGAAAAAGACACCTGTGGATAGATTGGCTTAAACAGAGAAGGAGCACCTGTCTTCTTAGCCTGGAGGAGAGAAAGGCAGGGTGTTTGTGGGTATGGGTAAATTTGTAGGTGATGGAAATTAACTTGAAAAAGATTATAAAATCAGAAGCATATAGGTTGGATCAGTTGGTGAGAAGAATTAGGGACATTTGATATAGTGATTTAGAAAAGAACAGGACAGGAAAAGAGACAAAAGCAACAAGATATCTAGAAAGTACTAAAGGCAGGGCTTAGGTTAGGGACCATGAATTTGTGGACCATGAAAAAAGGAAGGCCACATATAAAATTCTTCATTTATTCAGCAAATATTTATTCGTCACCGTCCATTGTACAGCACTGTGCTACCTGCAGGGATAAAAGTGTGTTAATGATGTTAGTGCTTTGTATTTCTTGTCGCGGAGGCACCATTGGTCATTCCAATAAAAACAAAACATCTTATTAGTTGGTGGCATGTAGACAAAATTATTGGTGGTGTGAAATTTTTCCTTTCAGCCTGTAGTTTTATTATAGTGGTACACACAGGTTTCCTGCTTTTTGCTCAACTTAAAGCATTTAATGTGTTCTCTCACTGACCTTCATTAAATAAATCACAGTGAGCCTGACAGAGTCTGGAAATAAGACCGATGAAACCAGGCAGTGAAAAACATCCCTTCTCTATCCTTCTGTGCCTCTGTTTCCCCCCCAAAGGGAAAATTCCCAAAGCAGAATTTTTGCATTTCTCATTCCCTTTCCTTCACGGCTAATCTTCATTTCAATAGTCTGATAAATATGTTAATTTAGCATCATTGTAAAGCTGAGAATTGCTCTTACAGGTAATAGAAATGCTATTAATGCACTTGCCTGTATTGTTGAGGGGAGGGTTGAGTCAGTTTTCTGGAGCCACCAGATTAGACCAAAAGGCCGGCCTGCTCAATACATCTATAACGTCAGAGGTTGCTAACTGGTAATAATATTTAAACTAGTTTGTTGATTTTTTTTCCCCAAAAAACTAAAATTGCAGCATGAATATGTTAAAAACTTGACTAAATTTATTTGCTAGAAAGAAAGGGACTAAGAATCCATCCTTCATTCATCATAACCTAAAATTCCACTGGACATAGTAATCCAGACAACATGCATTTCCTGTTGTATCCCAGAATATTTTTGACTTAATTTTATCAAAGTAGTTTTGTTGGTCTTTAAAGACATGCAGATTTTTTCAGAATACCAACGCTGCTCACTATTGCAGAAAGGGTATTATGCAAATATTGTTCACTGATAACCTCATTTTCTACATTATAGAGTGTTGTTTTGAGAATGTTAAATAAAATTCCATGTTAAGATATACAACTTGGGAGGAGGCTTTGGGGAAAATTATTGAACTGTAGTGGTGATTCTTCCTCTGCATACCTTATCTATCTGCTCCATTAGTGAATCAACTTGAATGACCAGTGAATTATTCCAGTGAAATAGCAGAATGGTAATAACAGTCAATTAAACTAATTTATAAATTCACCTACTTGCTTTTACCAAGGTCATTCAAGCAAACGAGATTTCAGAAAAATTAATATTCTGTTTCCTTTTTATTAAGTCATCTCTGATGGGCTTAGGAAAAAGAAGTGTTGAATGCCAATCTGGTTTTATCTTTTAAATCCTCCTAGTCTACTTAACTGAATCTACTGTTAGGCTTATTTAAAAAGTGACAGCCTGCGTAACCCACATAATGCAGGAATTAATAGTATAATTTGAAAATGGTTGGAACAACTGTAGTTGACATTATGTTTATCTCTTTAGCTCTAAATGATTATTTAAACTCGGTTTGTTCATTTTCTTGGCATTCTTACTCATATTGAACTTATGCATCCTTCTTTTGATAGAGCTAGTTCTATAGAACTGGGGCTGTTTGTGGCAGATAAAAAAAAGGGTTTGAAACACATACTTCCCTGCCTTCCCTCTCTATTAATATTACATTTAATTATAGAAACTTATACTATTATAAGTTTAATTTCAAAGCTTATTTGCATTTGAAAATATTAATATGTAATTTCTATGCACAGTATTTAGATTCTGTCTCCTACAGATCTATCTTTCGAATCCATGTATTTCTCTAAATCATTTAACCTGGTCGAGGTCACTATCATCACTTACTTAATTTACCACAACAACCTTCCCTGTGGGGCTTCTTCCTCCAATTCATTCATTAAAAATTTCATGAGCCTTGAGGATATTATGCTAAGTCAAATAAGCCAGTCACAGAAGGACAAATACTACATGATTCCACTTATATGAAGTATCTAAAGAAGTCGAATTCATAGAATCAAGGAGTGGAATGGTGGTTCCCAGATGTTGGGGCAAGGGGAAGATTGAGATTTACTAACTAACAGGCATAAAATTTTAGTTAAGCAAGATGATTAAGTTCTAGAGATCTGCTGGACAACATTGTGCCTATACTTAACCATACTCTATTGTACACTTAAAAATTTATTGAGGGTAGATCTCATGTTAAGTGTTCTCATCACATTGAAATTAAATTTGATAAGAAATCATCACTCATTCACCAAACTTCTTTATTACCTACTCTATATTAGGTACTGTTTAAAACACTGAGCAGAGAATAGCAAACAACATTAAAAATAAAAACCCTGTCCTCTGGGAGCTTACAGAGCAAATTTTCTACATTGCAAATCCGCTTACACTATCCTCTTCCTTAATATCTTTCAATGGCTTCTCACAACATTAATAATCAGTTCAAAGCATGTTAACATACTTTGAGGGGTCTTCCATAACTTGGTTTCTCATACCTCTGTTTTAATACTCCTTCATCGGTCATACTTCTTAGTTGCAAACAACAAAATCTGACTCTAGCTGAAGTTATACAAGAAGAGTTTATTAAAAGGGCACAGGGTAGCTCCTAAAATGTTCCATGGGTTGGAGAACTAGTCATGAACCTTAGCTTCCAGGAACAATGATCAAAATATCACTGCAGAAGTGGCCTGACATGGAAACACTTAGTAACAAGTGCCAAATGTTTACTTGCTCTACAGGCTTAGTACATTTCATCTCTGCAGCCACTGCTAAGTTCAAGTTGGATGGGAGAGAGACAGAAAGAAAGAGACAGACAGGGAGGGAGAATGAATGATTGGTCTTCTGATTTATCTCTTTCTCTCTTTTATTGCTGGTTTATGAGTTGAAGTCTGGCTGGGACATATCTGATTAGTGGTGTTCTGGCTACATGCCTATGCCTTAGCTAGGAGAAAGACCGGAACTACAAGTACCTACCATTTTCAGCCACAACAGGTAAGGAAGTTTACCGCCTACCACAACTCATAAAGTGGGGGAATTACCTAAACATGAAAATAGGCTTCAGGTGTTAGATGGACAGACACACAAGAAATGTCCTACACATCCCTAAGAAAATCTAAGCTATAGCCACACTGAATATCTTTCAGTTCTTTCAATATGATCTCTCAATTACTTCTGAGTCTCTTTGTTCTGGTTCTCCGTTCTCATTAGTAGGATAACTTGTGTCTGTCTTTGGGAATGTTTTAATATTCATTTCTAGAGGATCAGCCTCCTCTGATCCTCCCTAGACTCTTTTAGATAGATTGGGGGTTCATAAACTATGGTCCACAGGCCAAATCTGGCTTGCTTCCTCTTCTTGTAAATAAAGTTTTGTTTGAACACAGACATGCTCAGGGGTTTATTTATTGTCTACAGCTGCCTTCACAGAGTTGTATAATTGTGACAAGGGATATATGGCCTACAGAGCTCTAAATATTTACTTTCTGGTCCTTTATAGAAAAATTTTGCTAACTCCTGTTTAGATACTTCTGTTGTGGGTTCCTGTGGCTGTGTTTTGACTCTGCCATTGCTCTTCTCATGTTTTTGTGTCATCCTCAATGAATGGCAAGCTCCTTGACAGCAGGAACTTAGCTCTCTCACTAGCCATTGGACAGCCACAGTGCCTGATGCAGAATAACATGTGCTTAACATAAGCAGGTTAAATAAATGGGTTTAAAATCGAATTACTAAAGTGTGTGCCAGCTGCACAGCTGATCAACTCTCAGGTTGTAAGAGGCAAAGAAATGTCATCTGGACTTTGGCAAGATGGAGAAATATGTATCAACTAGAACTTCTCTCAGAGGAACTAAATATTTGGAAGAAATATTTGGGCAAGACACCAGGTACCTGGGCCAAGGCTAAGGAAATGGGATCTCTCCAGCATGTGTATGGGCAACAACAGGTGGTTCCTAGTGCACCATTTAAGGAATTTGGTCCAGTTGGCTGCAGAGCCATTGTTTTGCTGTCTGTGGTAGCCCCACTACAACATAGATTCATCCTTCTTCCCTTTCCACCAGTCTTTCAGGCAGCTCAGCTTCCACTCCAAATGAACATAGAGCAAATATTTTAAAAATATAAGCTTGGAGGCCAGGCATGGTAGCTCACGCCTGTAATCCCAGTACTTTGGGACGCCGAGGTGGGTGGATCACCTGAGGTCAGGAGTTTGAGACCAGCCTGGCCAACATAGTGAAACCCCGTCTCTACTAAAAATACAAAAAAGTAGCCGGGCATGGTGGTAGGCCCCTGTAATCCCAGCTACTCGGGAGGCTGAGGCAAGAGAATTGCTTGAACCCAGGAGGCAGAGGTTGCGATGAGCCAAGAATACTCCATTACACTCCAGCTTAGGTAGCAAGAGTGAAACTCTATCTAAAAAAGAAAAAATTTTATATATATATATGCTTGAAGGACTTCCATAATTCTGATCTGCCTCCAAGTATAGTTGGCCCTCTGTATCTGTGGGTTCTGCATCCATGGATTCAACCAATCACAGATCAAATACATTTCAAAAGATAAAAAGAACAATACAACAATAAATGTAACACAAATAAAAGCATAGTATAACAACTATCTACATAGCATTTACACTGTATTGGGTATTATACAAAATCTAGAGATGTTTTAAAGTACACAAAAGGATATTCATAGACCATATGTTAATACTATGTCATTTTATATAAGGGATTTGAGTATCTGAGGAGTTTGGCATCTGTGTGGGTTCTGAAACCAATGCCCCATGGATACAGAGAGATGACTGTACTTACCTATCTCAGACAGACCATGAATAAGTAAACCCAATTTTTCATAAATGGAACAAAAAATATTACCTATGGGAATCTCAGTTGTTTCCACCATAATTTGGGTCTTTTTTTTAAAAAATTGTGGGTTGACACCTAGTAGTGTGCTCTGAAATAAAATTTTAGTTTATGAGAGTGAACAAATTAATAGAATAGAAAGTGGTAGAATGCATTTACAATTATAGTTCATGACACCTTTGTTTCAGTTGATACACGTATAGGAGTCACAATGAATACTTTTTAGTGTAGTGCTTGGTCAGAAAACATAAATAGCAACTGATATAATATTTTGCTTTCTCTAAATATTAATATTACAGTAGAGTTTATCAAGTAGCCCCACTTGAAGGATGCTCTGAGTAGTCCAAGTTGTTCTGAGAGAGTGAAGTGAGGGCAAGAAGAGGTGATAAAATGAAAACCATCTCTTCCTCATTTTTAGACCTACCAGGAGCTGAGGCAGGTGTTGGTGGACCAGCAACAGAAGAATTGCCTGGAAGTCCTGCCCAGATGTATTGAATTAGAATGCCCATTTTAATAAAACCCCTAGGAGATTTTTATGCACATTAAACTTCAGGAAGCATGGGGTAGTTGATACCAGTACTGTTCTACTCACATCCCTCAGATATTTTCATCATTTTTGTCCATACCAGCTACCAGTTTACTTTTAATACCAATGGTCAGCACCAATTTCTACCCTCAGGCTGCCAGAACATAGTTTGCCTGCAAATAAGAAGCACCAAAAGAGATGAAGAATATACCTCCTGATGTGGTTTGGCTATGTCCCAACCCAAATCTCAACTTGAATTGTAACTCCCAAAATTCTCATTTATTATGGGAAGAACCAGGTGGGAGGTAATTGAATCCTAGTGGTGGCGGGGGGCGGGAGTCTTTCCTGTACTGTTCTTATGACAGCAAATGAGCCTCACCAGATCTGATGATTTTAACAATGGGAGTTTCCTTGCACAAGCTCTCTTTGCCTGCTGCCATCCACGCAAGATGTGACTTGCTCCTCCTTGCCTTCCACCATGATTGTGAGGCCTTCCCCAGCTATGTGGAACTGTAAGTTCACTAAACCTTTTTCTTTTGTAAATTGACCAGTCTCAGGTATGTCTTTATCAGCAGTGTGAAAACAGACTAATACAGAAAATTGGTACCTGTAGAGTGAGGTGCTGCTGAAAAGATACCTGAAAATGTGGAAACATCTTTGGAACTGGGTTATAGGCAGAGGTTGCAACAGTTTGGAGGGCTTAGAAGAAGACAGGAAAGTGTGGGAAAGTTTGGAACTTCCTGGAGACTTGTTGAATGGCTTTGCCCAAAATGCTGATAGCGATATGGACAATAAAGTCCAGGCTGAGGTGGTCTCAGATGGAAATGAAGAACTTGTTGGGAACTGGAGCAAAGGTGACTCTTGTTATGTTGTAGCAAAGAGACTGGTGACATTTTGCCCCTGCCCTAGAGATTTGTGGAACTTTGAACTTGAGAGAGATGATTTAGGGTATCTGCTGGAAGAAATTTCTAAGCAGCAAAGCATTCAAGAGGTGACTTGGGTGCTGTTAAAGGCATTCAGGTTTATAAGAGAAGCACAGCATAAAATTTCAGAAAATTTTGCAGCCTGACAATGTGATAGAAAGGAAAATCCCATTTTCTGAGGAGAAGTTTAAGCCGGCTGCAGAAATTTTCATAAGTAATGAGGAGCCGATGTTAATCTCCAAGACAATGGCGAAAATGTCTCCAGGCCATGTCAGAGGTATTCACAGCAGCCCCTCCCATCACAGGCCCAAAGGCCTAGGAGGAAAAAGTGGTTTTGTGGGCTGGACCCAGGGTCTCTGTGCTGTGTGCAGCCTAAGGACTTGGTGTCCTGTGTCCCAGCACTCCAGCTATGCCTGAAAGGGGCCAATGTAGAGTTTGAGCCATGGCTTCAGAGGCTACAAGTCTCAAGCCTTGGCAGTTTCCACATGGTGTTGAGACTGCGAGTACACAGAAGTCAAGAATTGGGGTTTGGGAATCTCCACCTAGATTTCAGAAGATGTATGGAAACACCTGAATGCCCAGGCAGAAGTTTGCTGCAGGGATGGGGCCTTCATGGAGAACCTCTACTAGGCCAGTGCAGAAGAGAAATGTGGGGTTGGAGCCCCCCACAACACAGAGTCCGTACTGGGGCATTGCCTAGTGGAGCTGTGAGAAGAGGGCCACCATCCTACAGACCCCAGGATGGTAGATCCACTGACAGCTTGCCCTGTGTGCCTAGAAAAGTCACAGATGCTCAACACTAGCCCGTGAAAGCAGCCAGGAGGGGGGCTATACCCTGCAGAACCACAAGGGCAGAGCTGCTCAAGACCATGGGAACCTACCTCTTGTATCACTGTGACCTGGATGTGAGACATGGAGTCAAAGGAGATCATTTTGGAGATTTAAGATTTGACGGCCCCACTGGATTTTGGACTTACATGGGGCCTTATAGCCCATTTGTTTTAGTCAATTTCTCCCATTTGTAACAGCTGTATTCACCCAATGTCCATACCCCATTGTATCTATAAAGTAAATAACTTGCTTTTGATTTTACAGGCTCATAGGCAGAAGGGACTTGCCTTGTCTCAGATAGACTTTGGACTGTGGACTTTTGAGTTAATGCTGAAATGAGTCAAGACTTTGGGGGACTGACTGGTTTTGAAATGTGAGGACATGAGATTTGGGAGGGGCCAGGGATAGAATGATATGGTATGACTATGTTGCCACCCAAATCTCATCTTGAATTGAAACTCCCACAATTCCCATGTGTCATGGGAGGAACCTGGTGGGAGGTAATTGAATCATGAGGGTGAGTCTTTCCTGTGCTGTTCTCATGATAGTTAATAAGTCTCACAAGATCTGGTTGTTTTAAAAATGGGAGTTTCCCTGCACAAGCTCTCTCTCTTTGCCTGCCTCCATCTACATAAGATGTGATTTTCTCCTTCTTGCCTTCTTCCATGATTGCGAGACCTTACCCAGCCATGTGGAACTGTAAGTCCATTAAACCTCTTTCTTTTGTAAATTGCCCAGTCTCAGGTATGTCTTTATCAGCAGCATGAAAACGGGCTAATACACCTCCTACCTAAGCAATGCTTAGCCAGTAGCAGACAGGTGAGGAGCAAAAACTGAATCATCCTATCCCTCAGCTTTGAAGTATGAACAAAATGGGTTATTTTATGTGTCAACTTGGGCCCTGGGATACCCAGACATTTAGTTACACGTTATTCTGGTGTGTCTTTGAGAGTATTTCTGGGTGTGACTAGAATCTGAATGGGTACACTGAATAAAGCAGGTTGCTCTTCCCAATGCAGATGGAGCTCATACAGTCCATTGAAGGCCTGAACAGAGCAATAAGCCTGAGTAAGAGAGAATTCCTCTCTCTGCCCGTCTTCAACCGGGGACATTGGTCTTTTCTTGCCTTCAGACTCTGACAGGGTCTGGAACTTACACTATCAACTCTCCTTGACTTCCAGCTTCCTGAGTGCAGCTTCCATATGCAACTACTCTTTTACCACCAAAATCATGTAAGCCAATCTTCTATTGATTCTATTTCTCCAAAGAATTCTGACTAGTACAATGACCTATATTTTCTCCATGATTCTCCTATGGGATTGAATGAACATTATTTGGTTCTGTGGACTTTGCTGTCAGGCAGGAAGGGGCAACCTATACAGAGCCTTTGGACTCCCTGATAAGAAGAGAGGAAATCTTAGGGAGACAAAAGCAACTATAATTTGCAAAGAAGACACCAAGAGAAAAAAGCTACTCGGAGAGGAAATGATACCAGGTAGAAATGTGGATCTATATAAAGTAACGAAACCCCAGAATTGGTAACTGTGTGGGTAAATATATAATATTTTTTCTTATTATTTAAAATGTTGATGTTGTGCTGAATCCCTATTAACCCCAATAAGGAAGGCACCAGGTTCAAGAAGCCAGAGAAGAGACCCAGATCCAGCAAATGAGACATAGGGTTTATCAGGGACTTACATGCAGGGCAGATAGTCCAGTGGCAGTGGGCTTACAGGAAAACTGCTTTATGTACAGTAATGGTCTCGGGGTGGTGGGCTGGACAACATAACCACATGGCCCAGTGGCAGTGGGCTGGGCAGGATAACTGCAACCATTTTCAAACAGCATGCAATTTATATAGCATTTTCACTTAACACCCTCCCCTTAATGACCTCCACCTGGCAACCTTCATCCATCTCAAAACACAGGGCCTCAATCCCCTGTATGGCTCATGTCACATGGAATGGGCGAGGGGCTCAGATGTTTATCACAGATAAGGAACATATCTCCAGGTTGTCCATTCCTAGATTCCCTAGCTTGGAACACACATTTGGATGCATTTGCCACACAGGATCAAGTGTGTTTACCCCACAGTAGATAATGTAAATCTTATTGTATGGACTTATGAATGCACAAAACAAACATTTTATTATTTAATTCAACATTAAATTTCATTCATATGCAGTGTCCAGTTTATTTTTTCAGAAAATTGACATGTATTGAAAACGAGATCCTGGAGTACTATTCTGATATTTGGAATTCTGACCATTTTATACATTCTCATTAAAGGAGTACAGTTTACTCCCCATTTGTTTTATTACTACAATGAATTACCAACTTATTTTAAAGTTGGTATTCTATACAGTAAGAAACAAAGTCATCAAAAGTACCTTAGTTTGTTTTCTGTTGCTATAACAGAACACCACAGGCTATATAATTTATAAAGAAAATAAATTTATTTCTTACAGTCCTAGAGTCTGGGAAGTCCAAGATCTAGGGGCCACATCTGGTGAGGCCTTTCCATTGAATCATAACATGGCATAGGGTATCACATGACAAGGGGGCAGGAGCATGGCATCTCAGTTCTCTCTTCCTCTTTTATAAAGCCACTAGTCCCTTGAGGAAGGCCCCACATGATGACTTTATCTAATGCACATTACCTCCCGAAGGCCTTGCCTCCAAATACCATTACTATATAAATTTGGGGATTATGTTTCCAACACATGAAATTTGAGGGACATATTCCAACCATAGAAGTACCCAAAGAGTTAATTTTAAAATATTTTGTATCATGAATGGCTTGCTTGACTTTTATACTTTTAAGATACATAAACTTTTCCCCAAAAAAATCTCCAGCTGCAATTGTTTTCTTCTTAGTATCTACAAATATTCAGAAAGTTAAACTATCAAGCTTAAAATTGTCAGAACTGGATTATACTTAGCTATTAAAAATTTTGATTTGCCACTGGGTGCGGTGGCTCACACCTGTAATCCCAGCACTTTGGGAGGCCCAGGCAGGCAGATTGCTTGAGCTCAGGAGAGAAAGACCAGAAGACCAGCCTAGGTAACATGGTAAAAGCTCCTCTCTACAAAAAAATACAAAAATTAGCCAGATGTGGTGGCACACACCTGTGGTCTGTGCTTCTGGGGATGCTGAGGTGGGAGGATCACTTGAGCCCAGGGAGGCCAAGGCTGTGGTGAGGCATGATTGCACCACCACACTCCAGCCTGGGCAACAGATTGAGAGCCTATCTCAAAAATATATATATACTGATTTGCTAATTTTTCATGCAGTTATGCTCTGATCTTTGTTACTTCTTTTATTCTGCTAGCTTTGGTTTTGGTTTGTTGTTGTTTTTCTGGTTCCTCAAGGTATGATGTTAGGTTGTTAATGTGTGATCCTTCTATTTTTTTCATGTAGATATTGGATGCTATACACTATACTCTTAGCACTGTTTTTGCTATATCCCAGGTGTATGGGGTATGTTGTATTTCCATTTTCATTTGTTTAAAAATTTTTTTTAATTTCCATCTTAATTTTGAAATTGACACAAATATTCAGGAGCATATGGTTTCATTTCCATATATTTGTATAGTTTTGAGATTTCCTCTTGGAATTTAGTTTTACTTTTATTCTGCTGTGGTCTGAGAAGATGCTTGACATGATTTTGATTTTTAAAAATATATTAAGACTCAATTTGTGGTCTAAAATATTTCCTATCTTATAAAATAGTCCCTGTGATGAAGACAAGAATGTATATTCTGCAGTTGTTAGGTAGAATTTTCTGTAAATGTCTGATAGGTCCAGTTGGTCTAAAGTCCAACTGAAGTCCAATGTTTCTTCCTTGATTTTGTATCTTTATGATCTGTCTAGTGCTGTGAGATTGAATCAATAATAAAAAATTTCCTCCAAAAATAAAAAGTCCAGGATCAAATGAATTCACAGCTGAATTCTACCAGATGTTTAAAGAACTGACAATAATTCTACTAAAACTATTCCAAAAGATCAAGAGGGAGGGAATCCTCTCTAATTCATTCTACAAAGCCAGTGTCACACTGATACCTAAGCCCTATATGCAAATGGAAAATCTACAGACCAATATCCCTGATAAATATGGATGCAAAAATCCTAAACATAATACTAGCAAACCAAATCCAACAATACACCAAAAGATAATACACTATGACAAAGTGGGTTTATTTTAGGCATGCAAGGTTTGGTCAACATATACAAATCAATAAATATGATTCATCACATGAACATGATGGACAAAAACATACAATCATCTCAAGTTCATCACTCCCGTTCAAACATAGTACTAGAAGTCCCATCCAGAGCAATCAGGCAAGAGAAAAAAATAAAAGACATCTAAATGGGAAAAGAGGAAGTCAAATTATCTCCATTCACTGATGATATGATCTTATAGATAGAAAAGGCCTTAAAACTCCTCCAGAAAATTCTTATATTTGATACATAAATTCAATAATGTGTCAGGATACAAAATCAAAAATCAGCAGCATTTCTATACACTAATAATGATTAATATAAGAATTGAATCAAGAAGGCAATCCCATTTACAATGTCTACCAAAATAAAAATAAAATACTTAGGAATAAATTTAACCAAGGAGGTGAAAAATCTTTACAAGGAAAACTATCAAACACTGATGAAAGAAATTGTATATTAAACAAACAAATGGTAAGATATTCCATATTAATGAATTGGAAGAATCGATATGATTAAAATGACTATACTGCCTAAAGCAATCTATAGGTTCAATGTAATCCCTATCAAAATACCAGTGTAATTTTTCACAGAATTACAAAAAAAAAGAATCTTAAAATTCATATGGAACCAAAAAAGAGCCTGAAAAACCTAGGAGATTCTATGCAAAAAGAACAAGGATTGAGGCATCACATTACCTGACCTCAAATTATACCATGAGGCTATAATAACAAAAACAGCATGGCACTGCTATAAAAATAGGCACATAGATCAGTGGAACACAATAGAGAACCCAGAAATAAAGCCACATATCTACTGATCTTTGATAAAGCAAAACTAATCTTTGACAAAGTTGACATAAACATATACTGGGGATAGGATATCCCTTTCATTAAATGGTTCTGGGGAAACTGAATTGCCATACCCAGAAGAATGACATTAGATCCCTATCTCTCATTATATACAAAAATCAACTCAAGATGCATTAAAGATTTAAGTGTGGGCCAGGTGTGGTGGCTCACGCCTATAATCCCAACAATTTGGAAGGTGGGAGCAGGCAGATCACTTGAGCTCAGGAGTTCAAAGCCAGCTTGGGCAACATAATGAAACCCCATCTCTACGAAGAGAAATACAAAAACTACCCAGGCATGATGCATGTGTGCCTGTAGTCACAGTTAGTCAACAGGCTGAGGTGGGAAGATCACCTGAGCCTGGGGATGTCAAGGCTGCTCACTTGAGCCATGATCGTGACACTGAGGTCCAGCCTGGGTGACAGAGTAAGATTCTGAAAAAAAAAAAAAGACCTGATACTATAAACATACTAGAAGAAATGCCAAGGACAACTCTTCTGGGCATTGGTCTAGGCAAACAATTTATGACTAAGACCTCAAAAACACTAGCAACAAAAATATACAAATCCAACTTAATTAAACTAAAATGCTTCTGAACAGCAAAAGAAACCATCAACAGAGTGAACTGGCAACCAGCAGAATGAGAGAAAATATCTGCAAACTATTTATCCAACAGATGACTGATACCCAGAATTTACGAGGAACTCAAACAATTCAACAACAACAAATAACAAATAATCACATTAAAAAGTGGGCAAAGGACATGAGCAAGCATCTTTCAAAAGAAGACATACAAAAATAGCCAACAAGCATGTGAAAAATGCTCAACACAATCATCAGAAAAATGCAAATTAAAATCATAATGAGATTTCATCTTACACCAGTCAGATTAGCTATTAGAAAGAAGTCAAAAGGTAACAGATGTTGACAAGAATAAAGAGAAAAGGGAATGCAAATACACTGTTGGTGGGAATGTCAATTGGTGCAATCTCTATGAAAAGTAATATGGAGATTTCTCAAAGAATGAAAAATAGAACTACCATTCCATTCAACAATTACACTACTGGGTATCTCCCCAAAGAAAAAGACATCATTATATCAAAGAGATACCTGCCCTCATATGTTTATCACAGCACTATTCACAATAGCAAAGATATGGAATCAAGCTATGTGTCCATCCACAGATGATTGGATAAATGAAACATGGTATATACATATGATGGGATATTATCAGCCATTAAAAAGAAGGAAATAATGTCTTCTGCAGCAACATAAATGTAACTGTAGGTCATTATCTTAAGTAAAACAAGCCAGGCACAGAAAGATAAATACTGTATGTTCTTACTGATAAGTGAGAGCTAAATAATGTGTACACAGAGACATACAGTGTGGAATAATAGACATTAAAAATTTGGAAGTGTGGGGTAGTGCCAGGGGGTTGAGAGATGAGAAACTGCTTGATGGTTACAATGTACATTATTTGAGTGATAGTTACATTAAAAGCCAAGATTTCACCACTACCATCCACTGAAAAAAAAACTGCATTTTGTATGACTTAAATTTAAGCAAATAAAAACATAAAATAAAAATTACTTCGCTTAGTTGTCCTTAGATAAAACTTTATCATTATGAGTTGAACTCAGTGTTATTTTTAACAATAATTAATTTTTACAATAATTTTTATTTTTAATAATAATAAATGAGCCTTAAATATCAACAGAAAAATTCAAATGAATTAAGGAAACAAAGGTAGAGAGCAAATTTGCAATTCCCATTATCATAGTTTTCAAAATTTTTTAAATATGGGTAATTAAAATTAATTAAAGTCAGACTTTAAGAGTGTGAAATTTGGTATTGCATTTAGCAAATTATGTTTACACAGATACAATAGATACCATTATTTCAAACTCTCCATAATAAAATTTGAAAAACTTCGACAATGGTCGAAATGTTTTCGGGTGTTTAGCATTTCAATTCATTATTTTGCATAAATCTTGATTAACAAAATCAATGAATAGGAAAGCCTATTAATGGTCAGCCCATTTAAAATGTGGTAGGTGATTTAAAAGTTTAGTCATACTCTTATTTTCTTACTTGTTTTTCTTCACCTAATCCCTTAGAAGGCCCTATAATTTTTCTCCAATAATAAAATATATATATTTATAGTACAGGTCCTGTCATTTTCTTCTGATAATAAAAAATGAGTATTTTAGTCCTACTATTGACAATAAAACAGGTATTTTGTTTTATATCTATAAATAGAAAATACAAAATTTTTGTATAAATACAAAAATTCTTCCCTTAAGTTGCTCATAGTCTGGAGAGCAGGAGAGGAGAAATGTTATATAATGCAGAATTATGAACAAAGTGAAGAGGGAGCTGGTAATGTATTCTAAAAAAGTAAAACCATGACTCTTATTCAAATATAAATGAACACGTCAAAGATTTTATTTAGTTAATTAATGAATACAAAAACAGGTAGATGTAGATGTAGATACAGATATGCAGACACAGTCAAGAATATTGAAATAATTTTGCTTACAGATGCAAAGCTATATAAAATATTATCTTTGAAATACATTTTTCTGTTGAGTAGATAACAATTTTATCTCTACTGGAAAAATCCATTTGCCTTTTAGTAGACAAGAACAATTTGTATGACTATGAATTTTCTACTGTTTATAGAGTTGAAAACTAGCCTAGTAAAGGGTAAACAAAGGAACAGACACTACCTAGTCAATAAGCTTAGAGGGTCAGCTAGGCAACCAATCAAAACAGAGGTCTTTTGATTTAAGAGTGATTAAAATTTAATTTATTAAAACCTGCCAGAATTAGGGTACAGTCAATAGTCGTATCCTGAGAGGTCAAGGCCTTTCCCAATTACAAGCACATGGACACACAGATGCACTGATACAGAGAGAGCATACATAGCTTTAGTTTCACAATCTCAGGCAAAGGTTGAAAGTAAACACAGAAACACAAAAACTCACTCATTCAGGTCTCTCAGAATTGTTTTCACATTCTGTGGACAAAATATTCTTAATTGATTTGAGCACACATAGAGACAAAAGATAAAGACAAAAAGAAAAGACTTAAACACAAGATTCCCTTATTTCTCATTCATCAGATAATATATTTCTATTACCTATCTGATGTAGATCATCAGAAAGTCACACCATAAAATCCATTTTCTAATCACTGTTGTCACCAAGGTGGAATAAATTATTCTATTGCACAAACCATACACACAATTAGTAGAGAGGAAAAGGAATACAGAAATGGAGTCAGCAAAGTTTAAATGTTTTTGCTGCTTGGTATTTATCACAGGAGTCAAGAGAATAAATAGCTTGGCTTAAACAGTTCAAGAGATCCACTTCAACAACCTGGTCCATTCAGGTGAATCCATTGTGTATCTCTGTGGGCCTCCAAAATGGATAAAATGTGATTTTCAAAACAGTAAATCCATGACTGTTACACAGATATAAAATATTTTATTCAACATATTTATTAATGAAGGAACCAGTAAGATTTTTTAAATTTTATTTTATTTCAATAGTTTTGGGGGGAACAGGTGGTTTTTGGATTCATAGATAAGTTCTTTAATGGTGATTTCTGAGACTTTGGTGTACCCATCATGCAAGCAGTGTACACTGTACTCAGTGTGTAGTCTTTCATTCCTCACTCCCTACTCCCATTCTTTCCCCTGAGTCCCCAGAGTACATTATGTCACTTCTTATGCCTTTGGGTCCTCATAGCTTAGCTCCCACTTATAAGTGAGAACAGACAATATTTGGTTTTGCATTCCTGAGTTACTTCACTTAGAATAATGGTCTCCAACTCCATCCAGATCGCTGCCAATGCCATTATTTTGTTTATTTTTATGGCTGAGTTGTATTCCATGGTTTATATATACCACATTTTCTTTATCCATTTGTTGATTGATGGGCATTTGGGCTGGTTCCATATTTTTGCAATTGCAAATTGTGCTGCTATGAACGTGTGTGTAAGTGTCTTTTTCATATAATGACTTCTTTTCCTCTAGGCAGATACCCAGTAGTTCTTTAAGGAATCTCCACACTGTTTTCCATAGTGATTGTACTGGTTTACATTCCCACCAGCAGTGTAAAAGTGAGGAACCAGTAAGATTTTAAAACTGGTTAAAAGTAGAATCAAATTTATATCTCTGTATGTTTATGTATAGATATATATAGAATATATATATAATATATCCTATATATATATATCAACAATGCTGAAACAAATTTACTGATAAAGAAATGAATTTGTTAATATATATGCAATGAGAGAGCCTTGTAAATCCTTTCTATTTGTATTTTCTTTTGCCTATTTGTGTGTTCAAATCAATTAAAAATTTTGTGTCCACTGATGAGAACTGCTTTTAGAGATCTGAATTTGCTAATAGACTTTAAAAAGTTTAATGCTTTATAGGGCAATAAAATATAATGTTTAAAATTGTCTTTTCTTCAAGGCAGACATAAATTGTATTTCTACAGAACAAAGTTTTTGTATTTCTATGTACAATAACCACTTGCATTACTGTCAGCTTTCTACAATTTAAAGAGTTATAAAGTAATCTAGTCAAGGCACTCAGCAGTTGCTATAGAATGAGACATCTCTAAAGGGCCAGCTAGAGAATGCCAGCATTCCATTGAAGGCTATTCAGTAATTTTATTTTTTCCATTTTAAAGTCTTTCACAGTTTTTCCTAACAAACCCTGAAGAGGAAGCAAACTGCTGACCCAGAAAAACAAGGTATTAATAGCAAAGGTGATGAGAATACATTAAAACACCAAGGGGGAAATGACGTCAGAAAGGTAGATTTGTATACAATGTAATGTCACAAAACAGTGTAAGGTATTCAGGGAATATTGAAAGTCCAGTATAGTTGGAAAGTGAGATTTCAGTCAAGTAAAATGACACTGGAGAGGTCTACTGAAGTTGGATTTTGAAGCAGCATTGGTTTTAAGCGGTGAATAACCTTATAGTTGGTTCCACAACCCTTCCTCAAAGATGACTCTATTGATGCCATGAAGAGGGAAGTAGAGTGAAGGGCTACTGGAATGCAAGGTATTCTATAAATCTGTGGAAAATGGTAAAGATCATGTATTATATTAGGGTGGAAAAAAACAGCCTTGGTGGGAATGGAGAAGAAATGTCAACACAAAAGTAATTCCAGAAAGAAAATTGGATCTGAGAATCTTTAGAATGAGGAGAGTAAGTCTTTTTTTTTTTTTTAGATGGAGTCTTGCTCTGTCCCCCAGGCTGGAGAGAAGTGGCACCATCTCGGCTCACTGCAACATCTGCCTCCTGGGTTTCAGCGATTCTCCTGCCTCAGCCTCCCAAGTAGCTGGGATTACAGGTGCCCGCCACCACGCCCGGCTAATTTTTATATTTTTAGTAGAGGTGGGATTTCATCATGTTAGCGAGGCTGGTCTCAAACTCCTGATCTCAGGCAATCTGCCCACCTCAGCCTCCCAAAAGTGCTGGGATTACAGGCCTGAGCCACCATGTCCAGCCTCATTTTTACCCTTGGTGATTTGCCTCCTTAAGCCCAAAGTTGAGACACTTTTTTCATCTTAAATTATTGCCTTAGCCCATTGCAAATATACAGGTAGATTTTCCATTTAGTGGGCCAAATTTGTGTATCAATATATGTACATGATGACTTGTATCTGATTTAAATGCATATATAGGAAGCTTCCATTAGATAACTTCCAAAGGAACTTCATTACAGCCTGGGGTAGTTTACACACAATTAGCATAGTAAAAAGGAAATGTTGTTGTTGTTATTGTTGTTATTGTTGTTTACTTCACTTTAACTCAGAATATATGTATCCAAATTTTAGAAGTAGCACAATACAAATAAATAGATTCCAGAATTCATTTAATACATTTTAATTTCATAATAAAAAAGAAAAACGACTATATAATGAATAGATACCAGTAGATGCCATTTTTTAAATTCTTCTTTGTCTTAGAAATTTGGAACATTTTTGTTGTTGTTTTTATAGATACTTGAGGTGAATATTAGATACTTCACAATTCATGATGGTTACTTTTATAGCAATAACTTGATAATACAATATACTCCCATCTATTTTAAAATTTGCTTTTAATACATTTATATATCAGTCTCTAAAAATAATAGGCAAGTATCACAAACTATATGCCTTTTTTTCCAGCAGGCAGAGAATTATGTTCTGACACAAATGACATTTTTCTGCCTCCCTCAGAATATTTTTAACTGAGAACTCATGGGGGAGATTGTAGTAATAAAAACGCAACCTAGCAATGAATTTATTATAGTAGAATTTTTATTATAAAGATGTTAAGTCAGGAGAAATGGTTTATGATACTGCTGATTCTTAAAATATGAATGGCTTTCTCCTCCCCACTTTTAGCAAAGTATGATAAAAAAAAAAAGACAATGAGACCATGCTGAAAATGTAGAGTTATAGCTGTTCTTTTACCTCTTAGATCTTCAGTCATGAATTTAGGATTCGACTTTGAATTACAGAGCACATTTCATTAGAATAATTTTTAACACTGAAATCTTCTATCCCAAAGCTTCTTTCTAGTGCTCTTTATGGAAAGAAAATGAATTTCTATTTTTGCAACTGGTAAAGAGATGTGCTAATCAGTTTTTCCTGTCTTAATAGATAAACTGATTTTATATTAGAGGAGAAAATCTGCACCATTATTTTCCTAGCAATCTAGAGCTGGAAGGGCAGATATGGGGCACAAATTCCACCACTCAACTAACTTTTTCCCATGGCAAACATTACTAACCTTACAATGTACTTTTTTTCTGTAAGACTGCAAATGACCTCAGAGTAATCTTCAAATCAGTTGGAGTTAGCACAAAAAAGAAAAACTATTTGCCATCCCTGATTTCATGGTCTAGCAGGAATAAAATAATTTAACAATGACAATTTTATTTCAAATAAAATTGAAATAATAGCCATCACCACTATATAGAGTTCACCGTTTCACTGATGCTGCTGCACCATGCAGACAAACAAATGGTGGTCAAAACAACTATAATAATGAGAAACAGGACTAGCTGGATTTCCTAGGCCGACTAAGAATCCCTAAGCCTAGCTGGGAAGGTGACCACATCCACCTTTATACACAGGGCTTGCAACTTAGCTCACACCCGACCAATCAGGTAGTAAAGAGAGCTCACTAAAGTGCTAATTAGGCAAAAACAAGAGGTAAAGGAATAGCCAATCATCTATCGCCTGAGAGCACAGCGGGAGGGACAATGATCGGACTATAAACCCAGGCATTCCAGCCAGCAACTGCTACCCTCTTTGGGTCCCCTCCCTTTGTATGGGAGCTCTGTTTTCACTCTATTAAATCTTGCAACTGCACTCTCTTCTGGTCCGTGTTTGTTACGGCTGGAGCTGAGCTTTTGCTGGCCGTCCACCACTGCTGTTTGCCGCAGTCGCAGACCCACTGCTGACTTCCATCCCTCCGGATCCGGCAGGGTGTCCATTGTGCTCCTGATCCAGCGAGGCGCCCATTGCCGCTCCCGATCGGGCTAAAGGCTTGCCGTTGTGCCTGCACGGCTAAGTGCCCGGGTTCATCCTAATCGAGCTGAACACTAGTTACTGGGTTCCACGGTTCTCTTCTGTGACCCACGGCTTCTAATAGAGCTATAACACTCACTGCATGGCACAAGATTCCATTCCTGGGAATCCGTGAGGCCAAGAACCCCAGGTCAGAGGACACGAGGCTTGCCACCATCTTGGAAGTGGCCCGCCACCATCTCGGGAGCTCTGGGAGCAAGGATCCCCGGTAACAATAAGAAATAAAAGTTAATATGTAATGATTATAATAACAGATTCAATTATTCATGTTTCTTGCCATTGATCGTTCTAACAATTTACCAAAACATGGATAATTTCTTTTCCAAATATTTCTAATGGAGATACTGATAAATTAATGCAGTTGTACAATTTCTAGTTTTTGTGTAATGAGTTCAAAATACACAGCTGCCAGGCCTACCGGATATATTTGGCATGAAAATTGAATAAAGGCAAGAAATCAAAACACTTTATACATTATACATATATAAATATATTTGTATTGGTTATATATGTGCATGAACATATAAATTTAGCATGGCAGTGGCCAGCTTTCCAGGATCCTCAGACTTCTACACTGGTTCTAAATATGAAAATAGTCAAAACAGTCATAAAATGAAATAGACAAAAAGTTAAAGGTTTTGGAGAGTCAGGATGCCATTCTTGACATTGAAATCTGAGTTGTGATTATCGCAGTGATAAGAGCAATTCCAATTTGATTTATAATGTTTACTTAATAGAGATTTTATTTGGATAAAAGAGTATATAAAATGGCAGGAAAATTCAAGTTACTCAACAAATGATATCTGTAATTCCACCTTCTGGAGAAGCAGACCACAAAGTCTTTGAGAATAAGAAGCATGCCTTTATTCATGTTTACATCCTTACACTTAGGATGTGCTTGATACGTGCCTTTGAGCAGTAATGAATGGTTGATTAGTTTCCCTGGTAGAAGGACAGGAATGTCTGATTGGTTGCAATGTCTCTGTGTTGCCTGACCCTGACGGTAGAGTAAGGATGTGGTGGAAAATTCATCTGAAGAGAGGATCACCATCTCTTTCTCTATACAATGCTCCTGGAGGTCCAAGAACATGTGCATGCCTATGAACTATGTGGGCTAAGAGAGAAAGATAACAAAGACTTTGGATTGGGTGGTGATAAATCAGATGGAGAGAGCAAGACCAGTTCTATCAAAATTAGATTTTTTAACATAAAAAATCTAGGTACAGCCTAGAGAATCTCTGAGGGGATCTCTGATGGAGGTGACAAGGATATTACAAGATCTCTTGGGTGGATCCTGTTTGCTGTTGCAGACTCAAACTATCCTACATCTGTCAGCACCTGCATAAGAGGTCTATCTTCATAACCAAAAGGAACTTTCCAGATAAATGGTCACCTAGTATTTGGGGTCACCATAAACCAGTGTGTTTTAGTAATGCTTGCTAACTTCTGTTTTGGAAGTTCTTATAATTCATTCAAGTTCCCCTTAGTTTAAGAAAAAAAGATTTTATGAACTTTCTCTCATTAGCTAATGTGGAAGGCTCTGATTTTTAAAACTTTTTGCCATAAGAAAACTTTGAGAACCTCGAACTTTAAAAAATGTCATATATTCATGAATTGAGTTTGCAGAGGACAAGTTAATATGAGGATTAACAAAATACTTTTTATCCTCACTGGTTCTATTATATTTTTGACCCTTTGATGAAAAATCATTTATCAGAACCATAGGCTTCACAGAAAAGAGCAAGAGAGCAAAACTATCTACTGCTAGATAATTATAGAGCTAATTCCTAGAAAGAAATGTTAGTGTCTATGAAATTTGTTCCTCAATTTAGTCCCCTATGGATTTTTTTTTAAATTCAGTCTATTTACTGAGGCTTTTCAGGTATGCAACATGCTGAAAAAGGCATAATTAGAATGTTCACTCAACACAAAGATAGTTTTGAGGGCTTTCAATCTTGCATTTTCAAAGCAACTTTTAATGTTGCTATTTTCTGGAATTCGATCAATGGTTGTATTAGTGTTTTCCATTGCTGCTATAACAAATTACCACAAAATTTGTGGCTTAAAACAACAAAAAATTATTTACAGTTCTAAAGGTCAGAAGGCCCCAATGTGTCATATGGGACTAAAATTAAGGTGTTGTAAGACTGCATTCCTTCTGCAGATTCTGGGGGAGAATCCAGTCTTTGTGTGGTCCAGCTTCTCAAAAGCACCTCCATTCCTTAATTTGTGGTTCCCTTCTAGTGGTCACAGCACTTTGACCTCTCCTTCTCTGACTCTATCCCTCCTACTTCCTTCTTATAAGGACCTTGTGATTACACTAAGCCCACCTAGATAATCCAGAATAATCTCCCCATCCCAAAGAGCCTTAAATTAATCACATGTGCAAAGCTCCTTTTGCCATGCAAGGCAACATATTCACAGGTTCTAGGGATTAGGATTTGGATTTCTTTGGGGGACCATTTTTCTGCCTAACACAATGGTCAAATATTAAGGTGAGTTTTTATAAATACTTTCCCTAATTTTAAGTAAATAAAAGCTCTATTTTTATTTGAGGGTGAAAAATATAGAGATCACATTCTCTAACATAGTGTCTTAAAATAGTAAAGCATAAATATTTTTATTCCAAATAAAGAGTTCAAGTAAGATAGATGCCAGTAACGAAAAGGTCATTGATAATGTTTAGACAGATGCTAACACTGTTAAAAACAAGGAACATAATGACTGTTTTCCACTTATGAGAAAATATACTTAGAAATGATGTTTAGTCAATAATTTTGGAAGTGGATAAATAAAATATGATATTTGATGGAATACCATCACCATTAAAACGAATGAAAAATATCTGTATTTAAGAATAAGAATAAAGTCAAAAACACAAAATTAAGCAATGAAAGCATGTTTCAAAGTAACTTTACCCACTAGAATATCAAGTCCAGCTTCGATCAGATGGACATGGATATGCGTTACTTATGAAAATTAACTGAGCTCTATGCTTTGGATATGTGCACTTTTTTGTATATATTATACTTTAAAACAACTTTTTAAAAGTTGTAGCATATTCTGATCATAAAATTATGACATTTATATAAATTTTATTATGATACACTATACTACTGCTTGTTGTTTATGCAAGTATAAAGTACTCATTATGTACCAAAACTGTGTCAGGTGGTCAACATTCTTCATATCATCAAATCCTGGAATTAACCTGTGGTATAAGTTAAACTGGTTATCCAGAGAAAGACTCACAGGTTTAAAGAAATTAATTTACACAGGTCACAGAGCTAGCAGTCCAGGAAGCAATATTTGAAATCAACACAGATGTTGGTTATAACTGCCACTCTTTTTTTAACTAATTTAAGAAGTTTTAAACATTACTAGTTCCCACATGTGTAGAAAAAATGTATCTAAACATCATAAAGGTTATATATGACAGACATACAGCTAATATCATACTCAACTGGGAAAAGTTGAAAGCTTTTCCTCTAAGATCTGGAACAAAACAAGAATTCTCACTCTTGCCACGTTATTCAACACAGTACTGGAAGTCTTAGCCAGAGCAATTAGACAAAAACAATAAAAAATCTAAACTAGAACAAGTTAAATCATCCCTGTTTGCAGATGACATGATCTTATACAAAAGCCTAAAGATTTCACACACACACACACACACACACACACACACACACACACACAATATGAGAAGAAACACAGTAACGTTGCAGGATACAAAATCAACATAAAAATCCATAGCATTTCTATACACTAATAGCCAACTATCTGAAAAGAAATCAAGAAAATAGTTCCATTTACAATAGCTACAAAAAAAACACACATGGAAATAAAATTGACTAAGAAGATGATAAATCTCTACACTGAATATTATTAAACACTGAAGAAAGAAGTTGAAGAAGATACAAATTAATGAAAAGATATCCCATTTTCATAAATGGGAAGATGTAATATTGCTTAATTGTCTGTATTACCAAAAGTGATATACAAATTCAATACAATCCCTACCAAAATACTAATGACATTCTTCACAGAAATAGAAAAAAATCCTAAAATTTGTATGGAACAACAGGAGACTCCAAATGACCAAAGCAATCTTGAGCATAAAGAAAAAAAGCTGGAGGCATCAGGCTACCAAAATAAACTCTAAAGCTATAGTAATGAAAACGGCATAGTGCTGGCATAAATACAAACACATATACCAATAGGACAGAGTAGAGAGCCCAGAAATAAATCCACAAGTTTGCAGTCAACTGATTTTCAACAAAGGTGCCAAGAACACACAATGGGGAAAGGACAGTCTCTTTAATAAGTGGTTTTGGTAACACTGGATATCTACAGGCAGAACAAGGCAATTTAGACACTTCTCTCTCATCGTATACAAAAATCAAGTCAAAATGGGATTGAGACTTAAATGTGTAAGACCTAAAACTATAAACTACTAGAAGAAAACATGGGGAAAGTTCCATGACATTGGTCTGAGTAATGATTTTTTGGATATAACCACAGAAGCACAGGCAACAAAAGCAAAAATAAACAAATTGTATTATATTGAATTAAAAAGCTTCTGCACAGCAAAAGAAACCATGAACAAAGTGAAGAGAGAACCTACAGAATGAGAGAAAGTATCTTCAAGCTATACATCTCATAATGGCTAATATCCAAAATATATAAGAAATGTAAACAACTCAATATCAAGAGAACAAATAACCCAGTTTAAAAATGTGCAAAAGACCTGAATAGACATTGCTCACAAAAAGACATATGAATGGCCAACCGATATATGAAAAAAATGCTCAACATCACTAATAACCAGAGAAATGCAAATCAAAACCACAACAGAATACCACCTCACTCCAGTTAGAATGGTTATTATGAAAAAGACAAAAGATAAGTGTTGGCAAGGATGTAGAAAAAGGGAGTCTTTGCCTGCCGTTGGTGGAATGTAAACTAGTATAAACAATATGGAAAACAGAATGGAAGCTTCTCAAAGAATTAAAAATAGGACTACTGTATCTTCAAGAAGTCCCACTACTGGGTAAATATCTAAAGCAGAGGAAATGAGTATATGAAAGAGATATCTGTGTTGCCATGTTTATTGCAGTACTGTTCACAATAGCCAAGGTATGGAATCAAACTAAGATAAATGGATTGAGAATTAATAGATGAAAGGATTAAGAAACTGTTATAAATATACTCAATGGAATACTATTCAGACATAAAAAAAGGAAATCCTGTCATTTGAGACAACATGGATGAATCTGAAGATTATGTTAAGTAACATAAACCAGGCAGAGAAAGATAAATACCACATGATCTCACTCACGTGTGGAATCTATAAAAGATTGTCTCATAGAAATAGAGAGTAGATTGGTGGTTACTGGAAGCTAAGATGGTTGGGAGAGTATTGAGGACTGTTGGTCAAAGGATACAAGATGGATTGTATAGCATAGTGACTATATTAGTGATGCTGAAAAAATGCTAAAAGTGGATGTTATGTGTTTTCATCACAAAAAATGGTAACTATGTGAATTAATGAATATGCTAATTAGCTAGATTTAGCTATTCCACAATGTGTATATCCTTCAAAACAGCATGTTGTACACAATAAATACATACAATTGTATTACATCTGTCAATTAAATAAATTTGAAAAAATAATATTTTCAATATGCATGAAAGTGTTACTAATAGTAACACGTACATGTGATCCTTACCATTTCCCAGCAAACTTATTACATTTCTTAGAAATGAATTGTAATAGCACACATTAATTCATTTGTGAAATTGAAGCTCACCTGTTGAACCATAACACTCTTCTGAAAATCTAAGATAAGTTTTTTATTCTAATTTAAACTTCATTTTCTTGATCATACCACTACTTTTTATTAATCAAAATTAATAACATATTTTAAAAAATAGAAAACTGATAATTTCAGATTCTTTTGCAAGGCAACAGCCAAGAGATGAATATTCTGTTATTTGTGGACAGCTAAAATACTAAGTTAAATTACGAAAAATTGAAATTTTCGGCAGGGCGTGTTGGCCCATGCCTGTAATCTCAGAACTTTGGGAGGCTGAGGCAGGCAGATCACGAGGTTGGGAGATCGAGACCATCCTGTCTAACACGGTGAAACACTGTCTCTACTAAAAATATAAAAAATTAGCCGGGCATGGTGGCGGGCACCTGTAGTCCCAGCTACTCCGGAGGCTGAGGCAGGAGAATGGCGTGAACCCGGGAGGTGGAGGTTGCAGTGAGCCGAGATTGCACCACTGCACTTCAGCCTGGGTGACAGAGCGAGACTCCATCTCAAAAAAACAAAAAAACAAAAAAGAAAAATTAAAATTTTCTCCATAACATATAGAACATTTTCAGTAGGTTTAAAATTATTAGTCTTAGTGAAGTTTATGAGTATGTGGAGCAGATAGTGAATGTTAAGGTGGGCAAACTAAATTTATTAAATTGATCTTTTTATATAGTCTCAAGTTTATTAGTTTCTGAAATCCTAATTGAGTGGCAATTACAGGTAAGACCTTTTTCTAGGGCCCAGAGTAATCAATTCTCACAACAAAAACAAATTCCCCTATCTTGTTTTCTTGGTTTTCTGAGTCAATGATCTTTCAATTAAAGTGTAGCAAAATCACAATTGTAAGCACAGCCAGGCCTTGCTTTGATTGCTTTTAGGAACATTACATAAAGAAGCCAATTATTAATTAACAAGACATAAATTATAATGTGGCTCATATTTTCATTAAATATATATTATATAGATTAATTGGATTGAAGTGGTACCCTTTCAAGAAATAATGGTCAAACCTACATTTTTAAGTATGCTTGAGATTAAAATTGTTAAAGCCAGGATCTCTGTATTTGTTTGCCCTTCTTGAGGCCTTTTACTCTACTACCTTTTATTTCTTGTCCAATTTAATTTTTAAATAATTTTAAACATGAAAGGAATCTGAATTCAATAAAGCTCTAGAGTGGAGGCTCATGAGGGCAGAGACACAGCCTGTAGTTTCACAATTTTATAACAAGTTCTAGCATAATGATTCTGGGAATGAATGGCTGAATGAACAGTCTATTTAGAGAAGTCAGAATGGCAACAAATTGTGTAGTTGAAATCATAGACTGAGGAAGACTGCCAGTCCTGCCATAACATTGCAGAACCTGAGGCAAGTGTACAAATGGGAGTCCACAGAAGGTATTGCCTGTAGATTGACAATCAGAGCTCCTGTCCTATTCACTACACCAAACTGCAGAGTCCTCTGGGTTTCCAAATGTCTTTTTCAAAATTTTCTGTCTTCCTCTAGTATCTCAGATGACCAGGACTGGCGTGCCCCTTTAGGTATGGTGTCCCAAACCTAGACCTGGACTTGCATAGGCATTGCACCCATTTCTCCCATTTGGGATGCTCTCCAAGCTTATAATCACTCTCTCTTGTTTATCCATGCATGCACATATTTATGTATACACACTCTTTCTCTCTGTCTCTCTATCTCTCTTTTTGACGTGGGTTGTCCAGAGGCTTCAAATTGCTCAAGGACTCACTCTTGTATGGTCATTCTGGGGTTCTGACTGTGCTGTTTATGGTTTACTGGAGAGTCACTCCCTTTTGTCTCTTGCTGGGAGCACCGACAGCTTCAGTCTGTGTCTGAGTCTGTGCAATTCAGGGACCTGGGAACAGCTGACATTGCAGAGGTCATACAGAGGCATGGTGGTCTTTTGTGATATCTCCCAATTTTAAATGATGACACTGCTTTAAATTATTTCAAGGCCAACAAAACACATACGTGTGTCAGATCAGTCCCTGGGACTGCCATTTCATATTATAGAACCTTGAATATTAAAAGGGCTACTTGAATTTCCCTGTATCTTCTCAAGGCATGTTCCCTAAATTTCTTGACAGGGCCCTGGACAGTAAGACTCCCCTAGAAGCCAGAGGTTGGCATGGAAGAAAACTACCTTTAGTGACTCAGATTGATTTAGATTTTTTGAATGATAAAGGCAACTGTGGGACACATGTCTCCCTGGACCAGAAAAATACAAGACAAACACAATTGTAATGTCTAGTAGGGAAGCTTACCATATTTTTTTCCTACTTAGCTCACCAGAGGGTCTTGACGGTCCCTGATAGGCTAAACTTTGAGTGGCTCAAAGCCTGAGACCAGGGTTTGTTAACTACTGGGGCACAGTGCACTCAACAATTGCTCGTAGGACTTATTTGATAGGAAAATATTGTAAGTGTACATATATATATATTCTTTTTTTTTTTTTTTTTGAGATAGAGTTTCACTCTGTCGCCCAGGCTGGAGTGCAGTGGCACAATCTCAGCCCACTGCAACTTCCGCCTCCTGGATTCAAGCAATTCTCTGCCTCAGCCTCTCGAGTAGCTGGCTAATTTTTTTGTATTTTTGGTAGACACGGGGTTTCACTATCTTGGCCAGGCTGATCTTGAACTCCTGACCACCTGCCTCGGCCTCCCAAATTGCTGGGATTAAAGGCACCCCCCACCACGCCTGGCGAATTTTTTTGTATTCTTAGTAGAGATGGGGTTTCACCATCTTGGCCAGGATGATCTTGAACTCCTGACCTCATGATCCACCCGCTTCAGCCTCCAAAGTGCTGGGATTACAGGCATGAGCCACTGCGCCCAGCCGTGTGCTTATACTTTTATAAATATAAGCTGTTATTTCCTTCAAAATCATTGTCCACATACCACTTTTGTAGTATATATGTATATTTTTAAAATCTCACAAATTTACTATTACTTTTTGTCTTCTAGCATGTTTTTGTTGTCCTGACAACTGCTATCCACTTAGTCAGTGTATGGGTTGTCAGCTGAGATAACAAACAAATCAATTCTCATCTTTTAAATTTCTAAGTATTCTCTTAAACTTAATGCAGAGATGGCAGTCTTAGCAGCCACGGCTTTTGATTTGTAAGAGCTAGAAGCATTCAGAAAGAGGAAAGTTTCTTTTGAGCTCCAAGAGGTCTAAGATCTGAAGGAAGCAAGATCTGTTGTATAGGCCATAAGCAATAGATTAGAGAGAATGCAAAATACATGCAGCAAGAGCCATTTCCTTGTCCCATCCTAGCTAAAAATGCTGAGAGGAGTGGGAGAGACAATACTGAAGGAAGCAAGTAGCTGACAGAGTTTCCCCTGTGTCCTGTCTATAGGCTGAACCATAATGGGATTAGGGCTTCTACTGGGTAAAGATGTGTATTCTGACTTTCCCATCTGGAGACATTCCTAGTCTGTAGCCTCTCTGATATACTTTGTATTACAATGACATGGGAGCTTTGAAACAGAAGGAATGCAGGGGCAAAGTGAGGGACATGCAGAGAGGTGCAGGAGGCAACCCAGCCTTCCCATGCAATCAACAAAAGGGCAGAGGTAAGTTGAGATGGAGAGAAAAAAAAAAAAAGAAAAAAACACGCTACTGGAAGTTCACACACACTCTTGTGTGTGCAGGAAGTCTAGGTCAACAGAGGGGTAGTGCAACCTAGGATACAGTGTAGACTAGACAGCCAGGGACTGGACAAAAATCCACTTCTCAGAGAATGCCAGTCTAGAACATAGCAATGACCAAGAATTAGATGATTGATGTGTTTTCACCAATGTCTGGCTGTCTCATCATATCCTCATGGGAAAAAAGAACTCTCTCTGGGAAGGCAGGTATGTCTGAAAAAATTCTTATGTGACTAAATCTACCTGGAATTGGCAAGACAAAATTTTCTCCTACTGAGTAGAAGAGAGATCTGAAATAGAACTCAAATTCTGTTACAGGAAAATAAAGGAGGTTCCATTTCTTATACCTGAGTTTGTGGCCTGTGAAAATGCATGACCATTGTACAAATATAAAATTTTCCATCTGAGCTGCTACCAATTGCAATACATAATAGTTTTGCATGATGGTTAAGTAATCCTTTAAGTAAATTTGAAGAACATGCTTTGCCCGCAAAAATGGAAAAAAAAAATCTAGAAATCTTCTTGCCAAAGTCCAAAGACTTCTAATGAATATTTCAATTCAATGTTGTGAGGCCCTATATTTTTGTTGAATGGTGAAGTACGTGTGATTCATTAAGCTCTCATTCATTATGAAAATAGACTAGCAAATTATATCCTTTGTAAGTAAAATCATTATGAACATAATTTACAAAATAGTTTAAGTTCTTTCATGATCTTTCTAAAGGAAAAGCCAAATAGTTTTAAACACTTTGCAAGGGCATTATCATTTAAAAATCTTAGATCTTACTTCTCGTTAGTTATTTTTTGAAATATTTCTTGGGCAAATATCTAAATTTGGTTGTAATTTGCACAGTCTAAAGTATTTTTTATGTGTGCCCCAGAGAATCATGATCACTATGTTTTCGAGTGTAAAAGTAAAAATGAAATTCTGGTTTCTTACTGTATTCAAATGTTCTTTTCTTTTCCTCTCAAATTTGTGTAAGCCTATCTTGCCCCTTAGAGACTGTAACATGATCCTTCATCTCTTCAATTTTTGTATTAAATCATTATTTTTGAACTTGCAAAAGCAACATATAAGTCAGGCAGCAAGTTACAAGTTTAAAATAAGCTGGCTTAACCCTCCATGGGGTTTGAAAATCAGTTATCTACTTAAATTAAGGTAGAAGTCAGAGCTGATTTAGTGTCCTTCTATGCTATGCACACTCACAATACTGTTCATTACCACGAACATGCCGGTACATGTTTGTTTCCCAGGAAAAATAGAGCCCTATTCATTATTCATAGAGGTCCTCCTGTACAGTAAAGACATTCATTCTCTAATGGCTCTATGACTAGGGTGTTGTGAAGCCCAAAGATGTTTTTTTTGGAAGACAGTTTACCAATTAAAAGCAAACAGCATTGGATTGCTTAGTAATGTCCTCAACATTGATTGGCTGTGATTGCAAATGAACATCAGGAGAAATCCAAAGGCACATCGCCGCCTGTTTCTATGCTTGCTTGCTTGCTTCAGACACCTCCCTGGAAACAGATCATTAGTACATGGAACTTCCAACCGGCTAGCTCAGACTTTTTTTTTTTTTTGCTTCAAGTAACTTAAAAAATATGCACCAGATTTGCTTTCTCACAAACATTTAATTATTTCCCCCTGAAATGTAATAAAATGTGCGAAGTTAATATAGAAGCAAGTTTTAAAAATGATTGCCTGGAAGTGAGTTCAGATTGTGAAGGCAAATAGACCATATTCTTCAAGTAAAAAACAATGATGTGTTATATGAAGCTAAATACAATAGAATTCTCTGTGGCTGATAAAGAACATAGGATGTCAGCCTTACATGTTTGATGTAAATTCAGCAAAATTAAGCTTAGATTTTGACTTACCAGTAAACAATAGAGATCAAGATCAGTGCTATTTTCCTATCCATAGGTCTAAAAATTATTAATAGTTGATATTTATTATGCAGGCTGTAAACCCAGAATGTGACACAGTTGGGCTTAATGTAGTCACACAATGGTTAGGAAACTTTCCTCAATGTGGAAGATGGAAGTATGTTTGTGATCATTTTAAGGAATCTAAACTAAAACAAAATCACTTATGCATAAAAATCTTAATTGAAAATGTTGGCATTGACAAAGAATATGCCACAGGTTTGTCTGGCCATATGGCAGAGTTGTTTTCCTGACTTAGTAGAAAGCAGATTTTATTGCTTAGTTCTTGTACTTATTCATACTGATGACTAAGTTGAAGAAACAAATTTTCTTTGTCTTTCTGATGTCCACGTATATTCACTCCAATCATGAAGGGGAATGGTTGGAGTTTGAGAACCTACGTAAATAAGAATGGAATATTTTCTTTTAAATGGCCTAATAGATGACATTCATTATAAAAGAATCAGACATTATAAAAGAATCAGCCTGGTTGTTGGTATGTTACCGGACTGATGTTGTTGACTTGGTTCCATTAAGATTTTTGAGTTTTTCTTTGTAGAATGGTATATTAATATCATCAACCTGGCTGTTTTCTCCTACCCTGTCTTTCTTTCCTATTTTTTTTTTTTTTTCTTTTTTAGACAGAGTCTCACTCTGTCACCCAGGCTGGAGTGCAGTGGTATGATCTCAGCTCACTGCAACCTCTGCCTACAGAGTTCAAGCAATTCTCCTGCCTTAGCCTCCCGAGTAGCTGGGACTACAAACTCATACCACCACGCCCAGCTAATTTTTGTATTTTTAGTAGAGATGGGGTTTCACCATGTTGGCCAGGCTGGTCTTGAACTCCTGATCTCATGATCCACCCGCCTTGGCCTCCCAAAGTGTTGGGATTACAGGCGTGAGCCACCATGCCAGGCCCTCTCCTACCCTTTCTTATGACCAAACAATAGTCATTTTTATGGCTTCTAACTGGGATGTATGTGACTATAGCCAATGAATAGAGAAAAGCTAACTGAAATGATACTGCCTTATGGTATAACAAGAAAACAAATAAATTTTATTGACTTCCATATACCACTAGATTAAGCAGACAATCCATTCAAAATTTTCACTCTAATTTTTTTTGCTAGTATCTATGGTAATTTACAATAATATTGAATGAATTTAATTATTGTATTTTGAAGTTATTAGAAAACTTCTCAAATTAAAAGCTTTGAGTATGCTATTTAATTTTAGAATATTCAGATTGGTTTCAATTATTAAAAGTAATGTCATATCAATATATCATCATAGATAGCAAGGTTTAGTGATATTAGTATCTTAAAATTTCTTGTTTTTTTTCTAATCAAACAAGTCAAACAATTTTGTAATTTGTTTATCTAATTAATTTTTTGTTTTCATCTTCTTATGTTAGTTTATATTAAAATTTTTAAAAAGCTTCATCAAAAAATTATATCTTTCTGCTCCTTCTGAGCAAGTGCCTTCTAAGCTGATGTTGCATAGAAAACAGTTACAAGAGCAGAGGCCTGCAGGTAGTAGGAAATAAAAACAATATTTTATGGGTTTTCCCGTAAAATATTCCCATAAAATTTTATCAGTGTTTTCCAAAAACTAAGTCTGTCATACTGCCTATTTAAGGTCAAAATAATTAATGATAGATAATTAACTCAGGGCCTTTAAATCTGTGAAACCATTTTAATAAAGAGTAAATGTTCCATTGACGAAAGTTAGCATCATGTGAAGAGCTATTCCCTACCGAATAAGCCTGTGTTGTTATCCACTTGCCTTAAGGAATGCCATTGTTTATGATGCCAGATGATCCAAAAACTATGCAAAGCTTCATTCATCCTTCACAAAAGCCAAACAACCAGAATAATGACTGGCAAGAAGCATGGTTTTAATAATCCAGGTATGTCAAATTTACTGCTTAGCTACAGAATCATCTCTCATAACATTAATATCTGAATTTATAACAAGTAAGACAAAGTTAGACGATCTTTTATTAACTACAAAAATGCAAGTTTATTCATTTGTGATAGGTTTTTCACCTTTGTCACTCTTACATTTACATATCTGATTTGGAAACACTTCAAAAATGTGTGAGCTTCAAATAATGGCATTGTCAAACGCATCTATTAATATTGTGAGCCTTCAAGTCAAAATGAAACTCTTCCTGCTATGCAATACACTTTCCTAATGATGTTATGAAATGATGCTTAGCCAGTAGTACATTTGTCAAGATTGTTCCTAGGCATAGTCTTAACAGCAATTTTTGAAAGTAAATATTTGGTTACTCAATATTTAAATATATTTAATACCTAAGATGTAGTTCTAGGCATGAAAATCACTTAGAATCAATGAAGAGTAGACTCCTGGGTCATTAATATATATGAAAATTTAAAAATAGTATTTTATTTAATTTTAGTTTTTGTGATGGGCTCTTACTGTCACCCAGGCTGGAATGCAGTGCACTGTCACCACTCACTGCACCCTTGACCTCCCAGGCTCTGGTGATCCTCCCACCTCAGCTTCCCAAGTAGCTGGGATTATAGGTGCACCCCACCACACCCAGCTAATTTTTGTGTATTTTGTAGAAATAGGATTTCGATATGTTGCCCAGGCTGGTCTCAAACTCCTGGCCTCAAGTACTGGGATTATAGGTGTGAGCCACTGCACCTGGCCTGAAAATAGTATTTTAAATCATTGTGATATCTTAATACATTTTCTATTCTGTGTCCTTGACTATTGATAGTAGTATTTTAGGTAACGATGAGTAAATCTTAAGATTATATGGAATATTTTTATTGTCTAAGTTTCTGACATATATGAAGACTAAACATAATTAAATAATTAGAGTCCTTTCAATTCTCTTGGATAAACCCTGTCATAACTTTTAGGAGAAAATCTGATTAAGTAGATCACATGATTCCCTTCCTTGAAGCCAAACAGTTCTGGCTTCAGAGTCTTAGAAGAATATTGCAAGACAAGAAGAATCTGCTGCCCCATGGTGTTTGGTTTTCCCCCCAAGAGATCATTAGTAACCCAGTTTGTTCTCAGCTGCCCTAAAGATATAATTTTAATTGGTTTATATTAGCACTAGGTATATGTTTAAGGCTCAATAAATGTTAAATGAACTATTAGTATTTCATTGGATATAAACCATAAGATGGAAATGAAAGATTTTCACCATTTCTGGTCATTATTCACCCAGGTTTACCTTTTCTTTCTCTGTAACTCAGCAACCTTCCCATTATCCAGGCACCTGGCAGAGCTACTGTTGTTAAATTTCTGACAGCTTTTTCATTACAGGCCCTGTTTTTCAAGAGGCAGGTTAACTAAGCGATTTTGATTTGTGCCAAGCTGAGATGTGGAATAGACACTTGAAGTCCATTCTCCTGTTTTCCTAAGATTTTATTTGAAGTTATTTGTCCTACTTTGATCTAAAAAATACTAAGAAAAAACTAAAATTCACCTATTATTTTCATTCATGATTTTTATAACTGAGCAAAAGGATGATAAATTCTGCTGTAGCTCTGCTTTTTATTTTTTTTATAAACCCAAGGCTTTTAAAAAATTAACACAAGACATTTCATACTTCAGAGTTATTATTTGATTCAGAAACATATTAACAGCCAATTGTTTTACTTACATGAGATAGGGTAAGACCTTTTTATTTTGTAAAACATGAACCAAATGCTATAATTTGTATTTATGTTAAACGTGTGACATATTCATGTCAAAACAATATTTTTTGTCTCATAACCAAGGACTCATCTTTACTGTAGAAAACATGAAAAATGCAGATAAGAGAAAAAAAATTTAAAATCAACCAACCCAGTAAGATCATATTGGATTTCATTCTCTTTTTATGTCCACTCATTCTTCCCTGAAGTTTTAGAAACTTCTGGAAAGCATTCCTGACTACCTCTCTGCCCCTTCCACATACAGTTACCACATTCTAATCAGTTTTACCTGGTATTTCCATATTCTTTCCACCTACTTCACACACGATTCCATGTGGTTTAGCATCCACCCAGTTTACTATACTAAAATGTTTCTCTCAAAATTTCCAGTAAGCTTCCTTATCATTGTCCAAGTACCATTATCTCCATCTCTTTCTTGTCCACTGCAATTTGTTTTATGTTTGAAAATCTCCTCACCTGGGTTCCACGATGCTACCTAATGTTTTTGTTCTCTTCTTA